>NW_015148966.2:0-204999 GCF_000001405.40 Homo sapiens | reverse complement strand
AGGCCATAGTGCCTCTTGGCTCTGGGGACCTAAGGCACATCCTACCACCAGGGTGTGGCCTGGTGACCTCCCTGCCCCCAGGGGCTTCTTCCTGAACCCTGTGAGCTGGAGCCAGCCTGCCAGGGCCCCTCCCAGCAGGACGTGGATTCTCAGTTTTCACTAAATTCTGAACCATCCTTTCGTGGGAGGGTAGAAGCTTGAGAGCCATCGGCCGGGGACATCAGCTTGGGGGCCCTTCCCTGGCACCCTCCTGCCAGCCCCCGCCCAGGCATCTGAGGCCTCCAGGGTGGGTGCTGGGCGAGGCAGCCTGAGCCCCCGGGGCCTGCAGGGGTGGTGCATCAGGGCTGATCTCCCTCTGGGTGGGACAGTCAGAGGAGCAGCCCCCCAACCCTGCCCGGGTGGGAATGAGCCTCTGGCTCAGCCCAGCCAGAGAGGAGCAGTGGGACGCTGGCCTGGGATGGGTCTGGATGGTTTGGGGTTCAGGACCTCTGCCTCTGGTTTGGTAAGCACCGCTCTCAGGGCCCCTGCAGGGTCTGGGACTAGGGTGGCACGTGGTGGGTCGTGAGCAGGGCGAGCTCCCGGAGGTGACAGAGCTGCCTCCACCATTGACAGGGGCCCAGCCAGCGGCCTCTGAGTCTCGCAGGCCCCACAGCTCAGGTGGCCCAGTCTTCATTGTCTACCTTCACCTGGTGAGGGTGGGGCCAGCACAGAAGCCCTCACCCCACAGTCCCAGCTAAGGCACCAAGGCTGGGGGACCCCAGGGGTGGGCTCCGAGGGCTGAGGAGCCCCCCATTTGGAGAAGTGGGCGGGCCGGGCAGGGATGGTTGTGCGAGGCAGGGAGTGGGGTGAGATTGCGGTGAGGGGTGCACGTCGCCTTCGGATAAACAGTCAGTCCGGACGACGATGGCGGGTGAGAGCAGAGAGTGCGGCGCCAGCACGTCCTTCCCGCTGGGCCTGTGTCGGGGCCGCCGGACGCACTGCGGCCTCCCAGCCACATAGTCCTGCCTGCAGGCGCCTTCTTTCTGACCTGAACTTGCTGCTCTCCATGTCCTCCGGGCCGCTGTGTCTACGCCTCCCAGAACCTCAGTCATAAAAATGTCTTTCTCCAGCGCCCAGGATGCACATACTTTGTCACCGTCACCCTCTGGGGTTTTATTTTTTATTCTATTCTGTAAAAATACAGCAGCCTGTGTGTGACCTCCAGGTGGGTTTTATGAGCATTGAGAAAGCCCCAGGGTGAGTGAGAAGCAGCAGGATTTGAGGCAGACTTCGAGGTGCCTCTACTGGGACCTCCAAAGCCCGCCGCACTCGGCCTGGCCTGGCCACCTCTGTATCCACCCCTCCTGGCCCACCTTGGTCCAGCCACCCTGGCTGGGGGCTCTCTTGCAGCCCTGCTCCCAGCGGGGCTCTCTGTCCCGCCACCCCCAACCCCACACGCACCCCAGGCTCCCGCAGGCTCTGGTCAGCACCCCCACAGTTCTAGCCCCAATATCTTGAATTCTCCTTTTCTGCTTATTTTGCCCTGTAGCTCCAGTTTGGGGTTCCTTCCACCCGGTGATCTCGTCTGCTCTGCTCACTGTGAGGGCCAGGCTCCACCCCTGGGCTCTGAGCTGTGAGCACTCAGCGACCAAACCTTGCAGGCCTTCCAGCAGATGCTCAGGAGCCGACAGCCCTGCGCACTGCTCCTGCAACACGGCGAGGCCCCAGGGACACGGGCACCTCACCGGGCCCTCAGTGGGTCCCTTTGGCCTGCGTGGGGCGGCCCACACAGCACGGCTGCTGGAAGCCACTGTGGCCCAGGGGGAGGGGCGCTTTCCCTGCGATGATTGCTGGGGAGCCCTCCTGGGTGGCAGGGCACTGCACTCTTTGCTCGTGCCTTTCAAAATCCACCTGGATATTTGAGGACCTTTTTCAGTCCGGGTAGATTCTACGAGTTTGCCAACTTCCTCCAAAGCTCTCACCAGCTGCCATCGGCCTGGGGGAGCCACGCCTGTGTGTGCAATGCCCCTTCCGTCTCTGAGTCCTCCTCTGCATCCCTCCAGCCTGCTGCTGGAGACATGGACATTCACTACGCAGCTTCACACAGCCAGAGACGTGGTCGTTTTCCGGTGGTGGTCCAGGGTGTGGAAGAACCACGCTGACTTTGGGCCGCTCTAGCCAAGGCTCTGTGGGGCTGTCCCGTCAGCACCCATGGCTCCTCTGTTGGTTCAGTCGGGTTCTCTACATAGGTGGTCACCTCTTCTGCAGTCTTTTGTCCCCCACGAGGCTGTCCCTCAGTCAAACACGTTCCGGGTCCTGCCTAGGGACATTCGAGCACACAGTCGGTGCCCGTCCTGAATACAGGCACACCTGGGGGCAGGAGCTGTGCCCAGGGTGAGTGGCCAGCCCCGGGCAGCTGCCCTGCTTCCCTACACTGGCCCCAGCCTCCTTAAAATCATCCTCAGGTCTCTCTGCTCCCAGGGCTTCAGCTGGCATCCATGCCACCGCAGCATCCATCTCTCTGCACCTGGGCCAGGCAGCTGCCCTGGATCTCTGGTTGCTCCAAGAAGTCACCCTGCTGCCCGGAGCTCAGAGCTGCTGCCAGGGACACCCCAAGACGTGGCCGATCGCGGGGACCCATCCTGCTGCCCAGGAGCTCAGAGCTGCTGCCGGGGATACCCCAAGACGTGGCCGACCGCGGGGACCTACCCTGCTGCCCGGGAGCTCAGAGCTGCTGCTGGGGACACCCCAAGATGTGGCCGATCACGGGGACCCATCCTGCTGCCCAGGAGCTCAGAGCTGCTGCCTGTGCACACCCCAAGACGTGGCCAATCGCGGGGACCCACCCTGCTGCCCGGGAGCTCAGAGCTGCTGCTGGGGACACCCCAAGATGTGGCCAACCATGGGGACCCACCCTGCTGCCCAGAGCTCGGAGCTGCTGCCTGTGCACACCCCAAGATGTGGCCGACTGCGGGGACCCAGCTCCTCAGGAGCCCTGGGTGCTGCCATGCTGGGGAGAGCTGGGAGGGGGCTGAGAGCACAGCCCACCCTCCATGGTCACAGACCCCTGAGCCCTGCGTCTCTGTCCATCTTGCTCCCCATGGCCAGGAGCCTCCCAGGTCCCCTTATCTGGGACCTGGCCCCAGTATGGGCCCCAATATGGACTCCCTGGGCACATGGTGGGACACCCCTTCTCCATCAGCCTGGGGGAAGTTTTGGCTCCTGGAGGGGTCCTAGAATCATGAGTGTCCAGCCTCGACGTGACGCCTCCGCCAAGGCCATACTCCAGGCAGCCTCCTGGCACGGGAGTGTGGGGGGTGGGGCAGGGGCCACCCAGGCCAGCCCTGGCCTCTTCCCGCTCACGTCCAGGAGGAGTGGGGAGCAGGGGCAGGCTGGCAGCCGCCAAGGTGTTTGGGGCCACACCCATCTCTGTGGCTCTTTCCGGAATGGCGACTTGCATAACCGGGGCCAGGGGCTGTGGCGACCCAGGTGGGCAGCCGGGAGGCGGCTGCTCCCTCCCAGGGACCTGCTATCTGGTTACCTCCGGCCACTCTGCCGTGTTCCAGGCAGGGAGCGCCGGGCAGGAGGCCGTGGGGCCAAGCTCACCCCAGGGGGTGGGGGATTAGTCAGCCGTTCCCACCCTACCCTGAGAGGAATTGGCAGCTTTCTAGGATACCTGATCCACCCCGGGCACACTGGTGCTGGTTAGGGTGCCCTGCGGCTGTGAGGTCAGGTGGTCAGCAGAGCGCTGGAGCCGACGGGTCTTAGAGCGGGAGTTCCCGGGCTGTGCTTCCGCCTGGCCGCCAAGAGGACATGGGTCGAGGCTGGGGAGCCTCCTCTGCCCCACCTGCTCACCCCAGCAGTCAGGCTCGGAGGCAGCCCCACTGCCCAGGTGTCTGGGAGCACACAGTGGGCCAGGGTGGGCAGGCAGTTGGAGAACTGGACCTGGGGGGTCCTGGGCACCCCAGCCCTGAGACCTGTCAAAGCAACCCCCAGATGTGAGCCAACGCTGGAGCCACGGAGGCCTCACTGCCTGCCATTGGGTCAAAAATCCTGGTGCAGGGACTGGGCCGGCCTTGCCTTCTGACCTCCCAGTGCCTGCAGACGTGGCTTGAGGGCAAGAGGGACTCTGGGACTGGCCGGGCCTCCTCACAGGGCCAGGCACACAGTAGCGGGAGGGGCCGCGGCCCTCCGGCCCAGCCCAAGCCCTCCAGGCTGCCATGTGCCTGTAAGCCGTGAGGGGTGTCCTCAGCCTCCCAGGGCCATGGGCAGGCCGTGAGGGATGTGGGCTGAGACCCGGGACTCCCCTGGCTCTGCGGTGCCTGGAGCCCAGGCCTGAGCCGACGGGTGCCGGGCCTGACTGTGCTGCCACCTCGTGGCAGCTGCAGGGAGCGCGGCTGCACGCCTGAGAATGGAAGGTCGGTTCCCCAGACCCCACCCCGCCGGGCCTGGCACCTGAAAAGGAGGCTGGGGGAGGTTGGAGCAATGGGCGCGGCCGAAGTCCAGGAGGGCTGGGAAAAGCGCCCACCCAGACAGGCACATGAGGCTGGGCCCCTACGTCCACCTTGCTGATGGAGAATCCCCCTGCCGGCCCCTCAGCTACTCCACACCACGCCCAGGGTACACAGGTCCCTGAGACCCTCTCTGGCCCAGAGGGACACTGGGGCCACCTGAAGCTGTGGGAGGCCCGGGCAGGACCCTGAGCCCCAGAAAGTCACCAGGGAGCTGGTGCCTGCCACGTCACCGCCTCCACTCTGGGCGCAGCTTCCCACCCACCTGTCCCACCATCAGGCGTGGGGGGCTCCAGATGTTCCTGGGCCTTCCTGTGTGGGCCACAGGCCTGGCCAGGGCCGACCACAGCCCTCCCTGTCTTTCCCCCGCCCTGCGCTGGCCCTGTCTAGGCAGTGGGCTCCCCAGCCCCACCCGGCTCAGCCTGGGCTCCTCCAGACCCCTCTGCCCACTCCTGGGATGCCGGGTCAGTGCCGCCCACTCTACTGGTGCTGCTATGTGGCTGAGGCAGGGCCCAGCCCGAGGCCGGTGTGTCCAAGGGAATCTGCAGACTCCCTGGAGCCCTCCAAGAGGAGAACACTGGGCATCAGGAACATGGAGGCTCCGGGGAGGGGTGGCGGTGGTCAGAGAGGACTAAGAGAGTGACAAGCTTCCAGGGCCCAGCCCACCCTCTGCAGAGCATCCAGCAGACGCTCCGTGGGGTTGCCGACCTCCCGCTTGCCTGCAGATACACTCAGGAGTGTGCACAGCCCAAGCTCAGCCCCAGTAACGGCGAGTCTAGGAGCTGCACAGAGCTGGAACCCCCCATCCCAGAACGCCTCCATCACCAGGGGCAGCCCTCCCATGTCAGAGGCCCTTGCCTGGGCCATGAGGTGCCCTGGATGCCTGGGCTGGTCCCATTCCCTGCTGACTCCCTCCCTCACGCATTCATTCATCACTCATTCACTCATTCACTCACTCATTCACTTATTCACTCACTCATTCACTCGCTCATTCACTCATTCACTCACTCATTCACTCATTCACTTATTCACTCATTCACTCATTCTCTCACTCATTCGCTCATTCACTTACCCATTCGCTCACTCACTCATTCACTTGTTCATTCACCCACTCATTTACTCATTCATTTATTCACTCACTCATTTGCTCACTCATTCACTCATTCACTCATTCACTTGTTCATTCACCCACTCATTTACTCATTCATTTATTCACTCACTTGCTCACTCATTCACTCATTCATTCACTCATTCACTCAATCTCTCACTCACATACTTATTCACTCACATGCACTCATTCACTCACACATTCACTTATTCACTCACTCATGCACTCACTTATTCACTCACATGCACTCATTCACTCACACATTCACTTATTCATTCACTCATGCATTCACTTATTCACTCACTCATTCACTTATTTGCTCACTCATTCACTCATTCATTCACTCATTCACTCAGTCACTCACTTATTCACTCACATTCATTCACTCACATTCACTCACTCACATGCACTCACTCACACATTCACTTATTCATTCACTCACTCATGCACTCACTTATTCACTCACCCATTTATTCACTCATTCATTCTCTCACTCTCATTCACTCACTCTCTGTGTTCTGAACAGATGCATCCTGGACTCTAGACTGCAGCCAAGCCCTCAAAGACCTCTGCAGGGTGGTGGTCTCTTCTTGGGGCAGATCCAAGCTCTGGCCTCTCCTCTCTGAGCAGAGAGACACTGTCCCAGCCAGCCCACAGAAGCAGCAGGGCTGCCCAGTACTGGGTGGCTGGCCTGAGGTGTGCACCCCACAGGGCCCGGGTTTGCCCCCACCCTATTCCTGGATTTTATGAACAATCTCAAAAAATGCACAGTCCACAAATTGCAAAATGCTCAAGTGTATTTATGCAACAGATTGGCCGTGTACTGAGGAGGGGAGCGCAGGCTGAGGGCTGAGGTAGGAGTGAGGTTCTTCCTCCTGCAGCCACCAGGCAGCTGATCACCATGTCCAAGCGTCATTCCTGAGACCCTCAGGTGATGCTCACGTCCCCAGAACAGCAGGCTGGATGCATGGCCAGAGGAGCTCGGCCAGCCCCGGGGCTGGTCCTGAGAGGTGGCTGCAGGCGGGGTGGGTAAGGGCCCCTCCTCCAGGCAGCAGGTGACCCATAGCCCACACCCTCCACAAGAAAGCGGGCGTGGACAGTGTGTTCAAAGCTGCAGCCGCCTGGACAGGGGCACAAGTTCCACTGGCCTTGGAAGCCGAGCTCAGAGGACATATGGGAGGTTCTCCTTGGAGGTCAGGAGGGCGGCAGTGCTGGTCAGTGCATGGGGGACACTGGGACGCCTCTCTCCCAGCTCCCACTCTCTGCCTCCTGGCTGGGCTCGGGTTCCGCCTCCTCCGAGTGCTGGGTGTCGCCCGGCGCAGGGCACCGCCGGCCCATGCAGCCGCACTCTTCCACCTCGGTGTAGCTGAAGGCCCGGCTGGAGCCGTCGGTGCAGTGCAGGGTCACATTCCTCAGCGAGGTCCGCAGCTCCTGGCAGCACTGGCACCTGTGCTCCACCGTGTTGCCCTCGAGCGAGTACCTGTGGGCAGGGGCTGCTCAGCACCAGCTGCTGCGCCACCCCAGCCTCCTGCCGTAAGCCGGCGCCGTGCCGAGCTCTGGGCGGCCTCATCGTGTTCCCTGCTCCTGGAGGCATGCTGCCAGTGTCTGACAACCAGCTCTCCTTTGCCAGTTCCCCAGGCGCCAACAGTCCCACCAGGGCCGACCCCGGCTCCGTGCTGATGGGAGGGAGGGAGACTCGGGGCGGCTGCGGCAAGTTCCTGGCGGAGCTCAGTAAACAGGAGAGCGTGATGCCGACACAGGCTCTGGGGATGTAGTTACCCCAGCCCCACCCTTGCCATCTCAGGACCCCTTTCCCGCCTCACCCTCAGAGCCCTTTGCCTGGCCCCTCATGGTCCTGCCCCTCGTCTATCTGGCACCTAGAGCCCTGGGGGCCCTGACTGCACCCCACAGCCAATCGCGTCTCCCTGCCTGCTGCCCAGGCACGTACATGGAAGAGCTGTCCCCACAGTTCCCCCGGCAGTAAGCCAGGCGCACGGGCTCCGAGGAGCTGCAGCCCTGCTGCTGGATGATCAGGCTCCTATGGTACACAGCACAGGTCGACTCTGGAGAGGAACACAGGGTTTAGGACCAGCCCAGCTGCTCCTAGACCTCTGAGGGTGGAGCCCGCCCCGCCCAGCAGGCTGGGTACTCACGGTTCTGGTACGGGGGCGGGGGCGGCGGGCAGAAGCGGCAGCAGCCGTCCTTGCTCATGCGGGCCTCGTCCTGTGCCGACAGAGGGGCGCCCTCAGTGCCGAGGCGCTCGGCGGCCCCCACAGAAGTGAGGGATGGGGACATGGGGCCAGGCTCAGGAGTGGACAGCCCCAAGCAGGAGGGGGTGTCTGCTGGCGCTGCAGGGATGATCACAGCCCCCCAAACCCATCTAGGGGTGAAGCCCCCCTTGGCTGGAGCGGGGATCCTGGACCTCACCAGAGAACAGCTGAGCGGGGGGCACGCCTTCTTCGTGGTGACCACCACGAGCCCATCCTGGTGCTTCTCACACTGGTGGGTCACACAGTGGTTCCCTGCGTCTGACCAGGTCTCGCCGGGCTGGAGGGAGGCCAGGCCCCGGGGTGAGTGACCCTCCCTCCGTCTGTCCCTCTGTCTGCACCCCAGCCCGTGGGCTTCCAGAGAGTCCCCAGCCTCTGCCAGACGCATGCCTGGCAACGACAGGTCCCCACATGCCCCAGTGCTCCCAGACCCTGCCCTTCCTCTTTGTGGCAGCCACTACTCACGTAGAAGAGGTGGGCGGGGCTCTTGCTGGTGTTGGTGACACAGGCGACCTGCACACAGGTGCCACAGCACTGCCCGCTCTGCTCCTGGTACTCGAAGCCCTGCGGGAGGGATGGACATGTGGCTGGAATCCAGGCGACCGCTGCCCCCCAAGAGCCAGGGCAGGGTCGGGGCAGGGTGGGAGCGCTCACCACAGGGCAGTGTGTGTTGCAGATCTGGGTCTCACAGCTGACCACAAACGCGTCCGATGGGGGGCCACCCGGCAGCTCACACCTGCAGGTTTCGCACAGGCTCGAGGAGACCACGGCGCCGGGCTGGGGAGAGCCAGGGCAGCAGACACTCATGAGCTTGGGCCCTGGGGAGACCCGCCCCTGCCTCCCCACTGGCTTGCTGCCCCCAACTTCCCAGACATCCCCCTCCAGGCCGCTTCCTACCAGGCCGAGTTGCACCCCTGGGGTGACTCGTGGTGGCACCTCTTGGTGCAGAGGCCACAGCCCAGGGTCCCCATCCCTAGAGCAGAGCCCCACGCTGCACCCCCTTGGATGGGGTGCCCAACAAGGCCACACACTCTGCAGGGCCACATACTCAGCCGGCTCAGGACAGAGCCGTGGGATCCAGGCCTGGCTGTGCTGTGGTGCCAGGAGAGGCAAAGTCCCCCGGAGCCCCCCGGAGCCAGGCAGGCCAGGGTGTAGATGTCCATATTTCCGGGACCTGGGGCCGACCTCGGGCCTCAGCCACACTTGATAGTGGGCTGTGTCTGCAGAGACTCGAGTCCCTGGCCTCGGCCGGAGTTGGCAGTTGCTCCAAAGTCTACCTGGGCCTCAGGGTCAGTGGGAAGCTCCGTCCCTATGGCTGAGGGGGTCTGAGCTCCGTGGCTCTTACCTGGTACAGGGTCCCGTTGATGCTGCACACTGTCCAGCCTGCCCACGAGAAGACAAGCAGCTGCACCCCCCGCCGCCCACTCTCCCCTCACCCTCAGCATTCCCGCCCCTGCAGCCTCCTGGGCGCCTCATTCCCGGGCTCGCCACTGGGGTTTGTCCAGCCTCATCTCTGCGGAAGGCTCAGTCCAGAGCCACAGACCCGCAGTGGACAAGCCGCACTGGCATCTGGTTATGGCCCCCCAAAATCCCAGGTGGAGACCCCAGCCCACGGCCCCTGACAGGGCCTGGTCCAGGCCACTCACTGCAGTTTTGGACTGGGCAGCAGGCCCCCTCCTGGTAGGTCGGGATCGCGCGGGCGCCCTCAGGACAGCCCACGGGCGCGGGGCAGCGGCTGGTGTTGCAGGCTGCGGGGGCGGGAGTGAGGCAATTAGGAGTCTGTCCCCCGCCCCCACCCGAAGGCCCACCCCCTGGGGTCTCTAGGATTGCGGACCGCCTAGACAGCCCGCTCGGGGGTCTCCAGATGAGGCTGTTGCGGAAGCGGAGGAGGGGACGCCCTCGTAGGCACTGTCCCCAGGTGCACGCCCCAAGGCAGCAGCAAAGTCCGGGCCGAGTGGGCTCCGGGTCACCTGCCTGCCACACCATGCCCCTCACCCAGCAAAGGGCTTACCGCAGCTGTACTGGGGGCAGCACTGGCCGGCCTGTGGGGCTGCAGGCACAGGCACGAAGCCGGGCAGGGGGCAGGCAGGGGGCAGCGGGCAGAGCTTGGGTCGGCAGGTCAGCGTCCACGTGGCCGCCTCACACGTGCACTCCTGGCAGTCCATGCCGACGGTGTGGCCCACCTGCAAGGAAGGGGACTGAGGTCCAGCGTCCGCAGCGGCTCCACCCAGGGGTGCAGCAGCCACCCCGGCTCATGCAGTGCCGGGGCAGCCAGGTGTGGAGGCCGTGTGGCCTGCACTGAGGACCCAGCAGGAGTAGGGCTTCAAAAGTGCAGGGTAGGGCCCAGGGATGGGCACAAAGCTCTGCAAGGTGGGCAGGCTGTGGGGTGACTGGCCTGCGCCCCCCACCTCACACCTCCACAGTCTTGGCTGGGCAGAAGGGGCGTCCCAAGGAAGGGAAGAGCACAGCCAGCCTCGGGGCCAGCACCCACCCACAGAGCAACACCAGGACAGACGCCCCGGCACCGTCCCCAATACGGACAGAGTGGGTACCTGGGAAGGGAGATCCCGAGTCTTTCTGGGAGCCCGGCTCCTCCCGCAGCCCTTTCTCTGGGCCTCTGACACAGAGAGGACACCCCGACCCCTGAGCCCCACCTGACCATTTCTGGGGCCGGTGTTTCAAGAGCCTCCCTCCTCGGGCTCTTGGACCCCAGTGCCCTCTTGGGCCATGCCTTCCACTCACCTTCACCGGCTCTCCGTGGGGCCCCAGACACCCTGGAAGGAGAGAGATCTGAGGTTACTGGGGGTCAGCCACCACAATAGGGGCGAGAGGCAGGGTCCCATATTGGGGCCAGGGTAGACCCCAGGACCTGGCCAACAGTCACAGGCCCAGTCCTGCCACACCCCCCAGCCCCGGCCTGGGGCACGTACTGGGGCAGCCCGTGGGCACGCAGACTTGGGCACTGGTGCTGAAGAGGGTCATGCCCTCCGGACAGAAGCAGCCTTCGGTGATGGGGCCGGCCTCCGGCAGAGCCCTGTAGAGAGCATAGGGTTGGTGGGTCTCCTTTTTCCCTCCGGTGAGAAGGACCCCAGCCTGGGAGTGGGAGATGCAGCGGGAGGCTGGGGACTGGGTGGCTCCAGCAGCCCATGGCAGGGCCAGGAGGGAGGGTGCCTACCCGAGGCTGGCGCTGTCATTCCCGTAGCAGTAGGAGGGGTTGCTCGGGCCGCAGGGCTGGTACACCTTGTCGGCTGGGCAGGTGAATGCTGTGGGGAGGGGAAGCCACACCTGAGAGGGTGGGAGGGCACCCACCCAGAGCAACGCGGGCCGCTGGGCACCAACATCTGCTCCGGAGCTGCCCGCAGCCACCTGTGGGCCTGGGCCTGGCTACGGCCTCCCACACCCCAGTGCCCCGCCACGGGCTCCCAGACGTGGACGCCCTCCCTTCTCTCCAGGGAACTGGGTGCACTCTGCCCTGGGGCTGCCCCCTCCTCCTCCAGGTCCCCCCCTGACTGCCCGAGCCCACCCTGTTGGTCCGTCCGGCGTGCCTGTGCCCCTCACAAGCGACTTGGGACCCTGAGGACAGTGGTGGCACTCACGGCACATGTGGCCGGTCCGGCCTCTCCAATCGATGCAGATGTCGTGGGACGCACAGAGTGCCGCGTACAGCTCCAGGCTGGAGCACACCACATCCAGGTCCGTCATGTGGCACCGGTCAAAGACGCAGCCCTCATAGAACAGCAGTGGGGGGATCACAGTGTGGCACGGCTCAAAGACCCTGTGGGAGGGATGGGCAGGGTGCTGGGTGCAGCCTCTCCGGCCACCTGCCTGCTCCACGTCAGGCTCCCAGGCTTCAGGGCAGTCTCCAGGCGAGGCGAGTCCCAGAGCAGCCACTGGTGTGTGGCCGCCCTCCTGTATCCCCGGACGGGCTCCTTCCACACATTCTGTGTGCTTGGGGGCGGGGGGTGGGGGTCCAGATGGCATCATCCATTTATTTCTGCAAGTTCTTCTTCCTGGCCCCCCCAGCCCCTGCCCTGCAAACCTGGAAGCTGCCTGGGGGTGGTGACCGATGCCCCCGTCCATACACCTGAGCCAGCAGAGAGCCTCAGAGACGGCCCAGCCGGCCAACCCTGGTGACCCCTTGGCAGCATTCCAGCCACAACCACCCCTTCCCGGCACCCGCCCCTCCCCACTGCCCACCCCTCCCCGGCACCCACTTCTCCCCAACACCCACCCCTCCTTGGTCTGTGGTACCAGCAGCTCTCGTTTCCTCTCAGGAGCCCCCTGAAAATGCGCTTCTTCCCCTCCAGCCCTTGGAAGGGTGGGAGGTGGGGCGGCCACACTGACCCTCCCTCCCTTGCACCCAAGTCTCACTTGCTCAGAATCAGCTGGCAGATGGGTGATGGCAGGCACGGAGCAGGCGGTGTGGTGGGCCCGACCGTGGTAGACCCAACTGTGGTGGGCCCGACCGTGGTAGACCCAACTGTGGTGGGCCCGACCGTGGTGGGCGTCGGGTGAGGCCGGTGGCAGGCTGGCTGGTCGGGTATGCTCACGTTCCAGAGGCCGGACATCTCGGAGCAGGAAGCGACCACCGTCCCCCTAGGCGTGCGGCACTCATCCTTCCTGTCGTTGGTGCAAGTGCCTGGGCAGACGCGGTGGGGGTCAGGCTGCTGGACAGCAGAGCCGGCTGGCCCCACCCCCAGCTGGGGGACAGGACCCTGGTGTCTCAGGGTCACAACTTGGTGAACTGCAGCGGGCCCTGCCTGTGCCTCACTGTCCCCCGAGAACAACCCTGGGACAGTCCCTATGGTACTGGGGAGCTGCAGGTACCGGCAGGCGTAAGCCTCATGCCTGTGGCCTGCACTCAGCAGAGCAGCCAGAAAGCAGAGACACCGGCACACGCGGCACGTGGTGGCCTCGCCCCTGCCCGGCACCCCCGCCCCCGCGAATGCCAGACGATGCCCGGGAGCCCTGTGGCCTCACCGCACTGGCCCTCGGTGTTGTTGGCAAACTTGCTGAAGGGCACCTCCACGGAGAAGATGAGGCCGGAGAACATGACCTGGACTCCCAGCTCCGGGATGGTCGCGTACATCTTGACGCCGATGCGCGAGACCACGATGCCGTTTTTCCGGAAGCCGGGGCTGACCACCTTGTTGTTGAAGATGATCTGGACGCAGGGCGTGGTCGACGGGAAGTCAGAAGGCAGGCGGGCGGGCGGTCAGCCGCTGCTCAGGCTCTTGCCGGGAAAGCCGCGTCCCCCACCCCCTCCGCGGCACACCGGGCGCGCCCCCACCTCGTTTGTCATCACCCCGTGGACTGGCTTGCGGGTCAGCACCACGCGGTCCTGGTGGTACTCCAGGATGATGGACCTCGGGCAGGAGAGCCCGTCCTCCGCACCGCAGAAGTAGTTGTCGACGAGCACGCGGAAGTGGCCATACACGGGCACAATCTGCTGCACCAGCACGTACGTGCAGTTGTCCAGGAAGGTGTAGTAGGTGCCGTCGAAGGTGATGTAGTGGGGGTCACCCCAGCCGCTGCACACACCTGCCAGGCCCCAGGGGCAGCCTTACGGGTGGCTCGGGTGGTGGCACCATGGCCCTGGGGCTTTCCTCCCAACAGGTCACATCTGTCCCTGACCCCCCACCGTCTCATCTCACAGGGCGCACAAGACCCTCACGTCATCAGAACACACGTGGCCAGCGTCCGCACAGAGCTCCATCCAGCGGGCGCTTGACAAGGCTGGAGCGAGGCAGGGACAGACTCCTCCACCTTCTCCAGCCAGGCTGCTCCGAGGCTCACAGGGATTCACTCAGCACCCCTAAGCGGGGAGGCTCGGCCCCATGCGGCCCCGCCTTGATGCTGGGAAGTCCTTCCTGCTGTCCCACCCAATTCTTTTCTGCTTCAGCCAAGCCCCCTCCTCTGCCCCGCCCATTTCCACCTGGGTGGGGAGTGGCTGCCCCGGCTGCCCTGGGTCCCGCTCGGCGCTCCACTCACACTGGCACTGGTAGTGATGGCAGCAGCCATCTTGGTCAGCCACCTTCACAGCCGGGTAGCCGTTGGCACAAGTGGGCTTCTCCACCCTCGGGCACGTGCGCGGGCGCAGGGAGATGACGTTGTTGCCCTCACAGGTGGCCTCGGAGCAGTTGGGTGTGGCCCAGGTCTCACCTTTCTGCAGAAGCACAGAGACCTGCAGGGTCCGGCCTCTCCCGATCTCCGGGGCACCCCTTGGTTCTCGGGGTCACAGTCCCGAGAGTCCCGTGTGGGGACAGGGGAGGGTGGCTGTGCCCCAGTTTCCTTCCTGCCCCACCCTCAGCACCCACCCCAGACACCGAGCTGGCCCGGGCAGGGGCCTCTGGTGTGGGAGTGGCTCCTCCCTGGCTCTGCCACACTCCCTGGCTGTGCAGCCTCATCCACCTGCTCTGGCCCTGGCTGTCCTCAGCACAGCCTCAGCCTTCGGCCCCACACACCCAGTGTCTGGAAAGCACGTGCCTGGGAAGCCCAGGGTGATCAGAGACGCCGGGCTACAGCATGGCCCTCTCCTGACGGCCGGGCTGCCTCCACTAGCGCCAGTGACCTTCTCAAGACTTTGCAGCTGAAGACTAATTGCAAAGACATTCAAGTTCCCTGTAGGAGCCCCTGAGCCTTCAGAAGGGTGAGAAGTAGGGGGTTACCTTTCTGGGGGGAACCGCATTTGGGCATCCCAGCTCAGTGACGGGCTCGGAGGTGGATATTGAAGGGGACGTGGCTGGGGCAGGAGGCAGCGTGGTGGACGGACAGTCACTGTCAACCCCTCTGACCACTTGGCAGTCCTGGCTACACAGGGCATAATAGCAATGGCCAGCGAGGTCTCTGTGGCGGTATATGGTGGATCCTGTAAGAGGAAGGGACATGGCAGCCTTTAGTGGAGTCCTGCTCAAAGGAGAAGCAAAAAACTCCCAGAGCCAGAGGGGCACTTTCTACCACCTGTGTAATGGGAAAAAATTTCAGAGAATGCCAGCAGCCACTCTGTGACAATGAGCCTGTGCCACAAAGAGCAGAGACTCCTATCATCATCACAGCTTGGCGTTCCTGGATAAAAAACTGACCAGGGTGAGCTCAGAAACAATTGCACCAGAAACACTCACGAACCTGCAGGGTAGAGCCGGTCAGCCACGTTGCAGAAGCAGGTTTGGGTGGAGTAAGCCACAGAGCTGGATGCCACAGAGCTGGATGCCACAGAGGTGGATGCCACGGAGGCGGATACCATGGAAGTAGACAGGGAAGGATACAGAGCATTGGTAGGAGAAGTCCCATATGGGGTCACAGAGGTCACCGGGCAGCCTCTGGGGGTCTCGCAGCAGAGCACGCGCACCTCGTAGTTGAGGCACATCTTGAAGGGTCCCTGCTGGTCCTGGTTCCGGCACACCAGGCCCTCTTCACGGCTGCACTGCACCACCTGACCCAGGTGTTCAATGTTCACCTCCGGGTGGCTCTCGGCTCGGCACTGGAGCCTGGTGATCTCCTCAGGTCGGCGGCAGATTTTTTCCCCACTCCTGATGATGTTGTTGTAGGTTTCCTTGTCCCCGCCGTGGGGTCCAGGGGATGGGAAGTCCACGTCGAACCACTTTGTCCAGGCGCACAGAGGATGACAGTCACTGGTGACTGGTTGGGAGTGGGTTGTCTTGGATACAGAAAGATGGCTTGTGCTGGTCTTTGAAACAGGGGTTGTGCTGGTGGTGGGAACGGGGCTGGGAGTAGTTCCAGGACCAGAGGTCGTGCTGGTTGTAGGAGCAGAGGTTGTGCTGGTGGTGGGAACAGGGCTGGGAGTAGTTCCAGGACCAGAGGTTGTGCTAGTTGTAGGAGCAGAGGTTGTGCTCGTGGTGGGAACAGGGCTGAGAGAAGTTCCAGGACCAGAGGTTGTGCTGGCTGTAGAGGCAGAGGTTGTGCTGGTTGTAGGAGCAGAGGTTGTGCTGGTGGTGGGAACAGGGCTGGGAGTAGTTCCAGGACCAGAGGTTGTGCTGGCTGTAGAGGCAGAGGTTGTGCTGGTTGTAGGAGCAGAGGTTGTGCTGGTGGTGGGAACAGGGCTGGGAGTAGTTCCAGGACCAGAGGTCATGCTGGTTATAGGAGCAGAGGTTGTGCTGGTTGTAGGGAGAGAGATTGTGCTGGTTGTAGAAGCAGAGGTTGTGCTTGTGGTGGGAACAGGGCTGGGAGTAGTTCCAGGACCAGAGGTTGTGCTGGCTGTAGAGGCAGGGGTTGTTCTGGTTGTAGGAGCAGAGGTTGTGCTGGTGGTGGGAACAGGGCTGGGAGTACTTCCAGGACCAGAGGTTGTGCTGGCTGTAGAGGCAGAGGTTGTTCTGGTTGTAGGAGCAGAGGTTGTGCTGGTGGTGGGAACAGGGCTGGGAGTAGTTCCAGGACCAGAGGTTGTGCTGGCTGTAGAGGCAGAGGTTGTGCTGGTTGTAGGAGCAGAGGTTGTGCTGGTGGTGGGAACAGGGCTGGGAGTACTTCCAGGACCAGAGGTTGTGCTGGTTATAGGAGCAGAGGTTGTGCTGGTGGTGGGAACAGGGCTGGGAGTAGTTCCAGGACCAGAGGTTGTGCTAGTTGTAGGAGCAGAGGTTGTGCTGGTGGTGGGAACAGGGCTGGGAGTAGTTCCAGGACCAGAGGTCATGCTGCTTGTAGGAGCAGATGTTGTTCTGGTTGTAGGAGCAGAGGTTGTGCTGGTTGTAGCAGCAGAGGTTGTACTGGTGCTGGGAACAGGGCTTGGAGTAGTTCCAGGACCAGAGGTTGTGCTGGTTGTAGGAGCAGAAGTTGTGCTGGTTGTAGAGGCAGAGGTTGTGCTGGTGGTGGGAACAGGGCTTGGAGTAGTTCCAGAACCGGAGGTTGTGCTGCTTGTAGCAGCTGAGGTTTTGCTGGTCTGTGGAGTGGAGGTTGTGCTGCTTGTAGGGGAAGAGATTGTGCTGGTTGTAGGGGCAGAGATTGTGCTGGTTGTAGAGGCAGAGATTGTGCTGGTTGTAGGAGCAGAGTTTGTGCTGGTTGTTGGAGCAGAGGTTGTGCTGGTTGTAGGAGCCAAGGTTGTGCTGGTTGTAGGACCAGAAGTCGTTCTGTGTGTAGGAGCTGAGGTCGTGCTGGTTGTAGGGGCAGAGGTTGTGCTGGTTGTAGGGGCAGAGGTTGTGCTGGGTGTAGAAGCAGGGATTGTGCTGGTTGTAGGGGCAGAGGTTGTGCTGGTCTGTGGAGTGGAGGTTGTGCTGGTTGTCACCAAAGTGGTTGTCCTGGATTTCTGCCAAGAGGAAGTGCTCTGAGTTGGGCTGGTGGCTCTCCCACTAGGGGTGCTAGGAGCTGTCACAGGTGTGGAGGTCACGGGGCAGCCTTTGGGGGTCTCGCAGCAGAGCACACGCACCTCGTAGTTGAGGCACATCTTGAAGGGTCCCTGCTGGTCCTGGTTCCGGCACACCAGGCCCTCTTCCCGGCTGCACTGCACCACCTGGCCCAGGTGTTCGATGCTCACCTCCGGGTGGCTCTCGGCTCGGCACTGGAGCCTGGTGATCTCCTCAGGTCGGCGGCAGATTTTTTCCCCACTCCTGATGATGTTGTTGTAGGTTTCCTTGTCCCCACCGTGGGGTCCAGGGGATGGAAAGTCCACGTCAAACCACTTGGTCCAGGTGCACCGGGGATGACAGTCTCTGGTGACTGGTTGGGAGTGGGTTGTCTTGGATACAGAAACATGGCTTGTGCTGGTCTTTGAAACAGAGGCTGTGCTGGTGGTGGGAACGGGGCTGGGAGTAGTTCCAGAACCGGAGGTTGTGCTGCTTGTAGCAGCTGAGGTTTTGCTGGTCTGTGGAGTGGAGCTTGTGCTGCTTGTAGGGGGAGAGGTTGTGCTGGTTGTATGGAAAGAGGTTGTGCTGGTTGTAGGGGCAGAGATTGTGCTGGCTGTAGGAGCAGAGGTTGTGCTGCTTGTAGGGGCAGAGGATATGCTGGTCTGTGGAGTGGAGGTTGTGCTGGTTGTAGGGGCAGAAGTTGTGCTGGTTGTAGGAGCTGAGGTTGTGCTAGTTGTAGGGGAAGAGGTTGTGCTGGTCTGCGGAGTGGAGGTTGTGCTGGTTGTAGGGGAAGAGATTGTGCTGGTCTGTGGAGTGGAGGTTGTGCTGGTTGTAGGGGCAGAGATTGTGCTGGTTATGGGAGCAGAGGTAGTGCTAGTTGTAGGGGCAGAGGTTGTGTTGGTTGTAGGAGCCGAGGAAGTGCTCGTAGGAGCTGACGTTGTGCTGGCTGTGGGAGCAGAGGTTGTGCTGGTTGTAGGGGCAGAGATTGTGCTGGTTGTAGGGGCAGAGATTGTGCTGGTGGTAGGAGCCGAGGTTGTGCTGCTTGTAGGGGCAGAGGATGTGGTGGTCTGTGGAGTGGAGGTTGTGCTGGTTGTAGGGGCAGAAGTTGTGCTCGTTGTGGGAGCAGAGGTTGTGCTGGTTGTTGGGGCAGAGGTTGTGCTGGGTATAGAAGCAGGGGTTGTGCTAGTTGTAGGGGCAGAGGTTGTGCTGGTCTGTGTAGTGGAGGTTATGCTGCTTGTCACCAAAGTGGTTGTCCTGGATTTCTGCCAAGAGGAGGTGCTCTGAGTTGGGCTGGTGGCTCTCCCACTAGGGGTGCTAGGAGCTGTCACAGATGTGGAGGTCACGGGGCAGCCTTTGGGGGTCTCGCAGCAAAGCACACGCACCTCGTAGTTGAGGCACATCTTGAAGGGTCCCTGCTGGTCCTGGTTCCGGCACACCAGGCCCTCTTCGCGGCTGCACTGCACCACCTGGCCCAGGTGTTCGATGCTCACCTCCGGGTGGCTCTTGGCTCGGCACTGGAGCCTGGTGATCTCCTCAGGTCGGCGGCAGATTTTTTCCCCACTCCTGATGATGTTGTTGTAGGTTTCCTTGTCCCCACCGTGGGGTCCAGGGGATGGAAAGTCCACATCAAACCATTTGGTCCAGGTGCACCGGGGATGACAGTCTCTGGTGACTGGTTGGGAGTGGGTTGTCTTGGATACAGAAACATGGCTTGTGCTGGTCTTTGAAACAGAGGCTGTGCTGGTGGTGGTAACAGGGCTGGGAGTAGTTCCAGAACCGGAGGTTGTGCTGCTTGTAGCAGCTGAGGTTTTGCTGGTCTGTGGAGTGGAGGTTGTGCTGCTTGTAGGGGCAGAGGTTGTGCTGGTTGTAGTAGCAGAGGTTGTGCTGGTTGTAGGGGAAGAGGTTGTGCTGGTTGTAGGGGCAGAGATTATGCTGGTTGTACGAGCAGAGATTGTGCTGCTTGTAGGAGCCGAGGTTGTGCTGCTTGTAGGGGCAGAGGATATGCTGGTCTGTGGAGTGGAGGTTGTGCTGGTTGTAGGGGCAGAAGTTGTGCTGGTTGTGGGAGCAGAGGTTGTGCTGGTTGTAGGAGCAGAGGTTGTGCTGGTCTGTGGAGTGGAGGTTGTGCTGGTTGTCACCAAAGTGGTTGTCCTGGATTTCTGCCAAGAGGAAGTGCTCTGAGTTGGGCTGGTGGCTCTCCCACTAGGGGTGCTAGGAGCTGTCACAGGTGTGGAGGTCACGGGGCAACCTTTAGGGGTCTCGCAGCAGAGCACACGCACCTCGTAGTTGAGGCACATCTTGAAGGGTCCCTGCTGGTCCTGGTTCCGGCACACCAGGCCCTCTTCACGGCTGCACTGCACCACCTGGCCCAGGTGTTCAATGCTCACCTCCGGGTGGCTCTCGGCTCGGCACTGGAGCCTGGTGATCTCCTCAGGTCGGCGGCAGATTTTTTCCCCACTCCTGATGATGTTGTTGTAGGTTTCCTTGTCCCCGCCGTGGGGTCCAGGGGATGGGAAGTCTATGTCAAACCACTTGGTCCAGGTGCACCGGAGATGACAGTCTCTGGTGACTGGTTGGGAGTGGGTTGTCTTGGATATGGAAACATGGCTTGTGCTGGTCTTTGAAACAGAGGCTGTGCTGGTGGTGGGAACGGGGCTGGGAGTGGTTCCAGGACCAGGGGTTGTGCTGGTTGTAGAGGCAGAAGTGGTGCTGGTTCTAGGAGCAAAGATTGTGCTGGTGGTGGGAACAGGGCTGGGAGTGGTTCCAGGACCAGAGGTTTTGCTGGCTGTAGAGGCAGAAGTTGTGCTGGTTGTAGGAGGAGAGGTTGTGCTGGTGGTAGGAATAGGGCTGGGAGTAGTTCCAAGACCAGAGGTTTTGCTGGCTGTAGAGGCAGAGGTTGTGCTGGTTGTAGGAGCAGACGTTGTGCTGGTTGTTGGGGCCGAGATTGTGCTGGTTGTAGCGGCAGAGGTTGTGCTGGTTGTAGGAGCAGAGGTTGTGCTGGTGGTGGGAACAGGGCTTGGGGTAGTTCCAGGACCAGAAGTTATGCTGGTGGTAGAAGCCGAGGTTGTGCTGGTCTGTGGAGAGGAGGTTGTGCTGCTTGTAGGGGTAGAGGTTGTGCTGGTTGTAGGGGCAGAGGTTGTGCTGGTTGTAGGAGCTAAGGTTGTGCTGGTTGTAGGGGCAGAGGGTGTGCTGGTTGTTGGGGCCGAGATTGTGCTGGTTGTAGGGGCAGAGGTTGTGCTTGTTGTGGGAGCAGAGGTTGTGCTGGTGGTGGGAACAGGGCTGGGAGTAGTTCCAGGACCAGAGGTTGTGCTGGTTGTAGAAGCAGAAGTTGTGCTGGTGGTAGGAACAGAGATTGTGCTGGTGGTAGGAACAGGGCTGGGAGTAGTTCCAGGAACAGAAGTTGTGCTGGTTGTAGGAACAGAGATTGTGCTGGTTGTAGTAGCTGAGGTTGTGCTGCTTGTAGGGGCAGAGGTTGTGCTGGTTGTAGGGGCAGAGGTTGTGCTGGTTGTAGGAGCAGAGGTTGTTCTGGTTGTAGGAGCAGAGGTTGTACTGGTGGTGGGAACAGGGCTGGGAGTAGTTCCAGGGCCAGAGGTTGTGCTGGTTGTAGCAGTGGAGGTTGTGCTGCTTGTAGGGACAGAGGTTGTTCTGGTTGTAGGGGCAGAGGTTGTGCTGGTTGTAGGGGCAGAGGTTGTGCTGGTGGTGGGAACAGGGCTTGAAGTAGTTCCAGGACCAGAAGTTGTGCTGGTTGTAGGAGCCGAAGTTGTGCTGGTCTGTGGTGTGGAAGTTGTGCTGCTTATAGGGGCAGAAGTTGTGCTGGTTATAGTAGTAGAGGTTGTGCTGGTTGTAGGAGACAAAGTTGTGCTGGTTGTAGGGGCAGAGATTGTGCTGGTTGTAGTAGCAGAGGTTGTGCTGGTTGTAGTCGCAGAGGTTGTGCTGGTGGTAGAGGCAGAGATTGTGCTGGTTGTAGGGGCTGAGGTTCTTCTGGGTGTAGGAGCAGAGGTCGTGCTGGTTGTAGTGGCAGAGGTTGTGCTGGTTGTTGGGGCCGAGATTGTGCTGGTTGTAGGGGCAGAGGTTGTGCTTGTTGTGGGAGCAGAGGTTGTGCTGGTGGTGGGAACAGGGCTGGGAGTAGTTCCAGGACCAGAGGTTGTGCTGGTTGTAGAAGCAGAGGTTGTGCTGGTTGTAGAAGCAGAAGTTGTGCTGGTGGTAGGAACAGAGATTGTGCTGGTGGTAGGAACAGGGCTGGGAGTAGTTCCAGGACCAGAGGTTGTGCTAGTTGTAGAAGCAGAGGTTGTGCTGGCGGTAGGAACAGGGCTGGGAGTAGTTTCAGGACCAGAGATTCTGCTGGTTGTAGTGGCAGAGGTTGTGCTGCTTATAGGGGCAGAGTTTGTGCTGGTTGTAGGTGCAGAGGTTATGCTGGTGGTGGGAACAGCACTGGGAGTAGTTCCAGGACCAGAGGTTGTGCTGGTTGTAGGAGCAGAGGTTGTGCTCGTGGTAGGAACAGGGCTGGGAGTAGTTCCAGGACCAGAGGTTGTGCTGGTTGTAGTGGCAGAGGTTGTGCTGCTTATAGGGGCAGAGGTTGTGCTGGTTGTAGGAGCAGAGGTTGTGCTGGTGGTGGGAACAGGGCTGGGAGTAGTTCCAGCACCAGAGGTTGTGCTGGTTGTAGAAGCAGAGGTTGTGCTGGTTGTAGGAGCAGAGGTTGTGCTGGTTGTAGGAGAAGAGGTTGTGCTGGTGGTAGGAACAGGTCTAGGAGTAGTTTCAGGACCAGAGGTTGTGCTGGTTGTAGCGGCAGAGGTTGTGCTGCTTTTAGGAGCAGAAGTTGTTCTTGTTGTAGGGGCAGAGGTTGTGCTGGTCGTGGGAACAGGGCTTGGGGTAGTTCCAGGACCAGAAGTTGTGCTGGTTGTAGGAGCCGAGGTTGTGCTGGTCTGTGGACTGGAGGTTGTGCTGCTTGTAGGGGCAGAGGTTGTGCTGGTTGTAGGAGCTGAGGTTGTGCTGGTTGTAGTGGCAGAGGTTGTGCTGGTGGTAGGAACAGGGCTGGGAGTAGTTTCAGGACCAGAGATTCTGCTGGTGGTAGTGGCAGAGGTTGTGCTGCTTGTACGGGCAGAGGTTGTGCTGGTTGTAGGAGCAGAGGTTGTGCTGGTTGTAGGGGCAGAGGTTATGCTGGTGGTAGGAACAGGGCTGGGAGTAGTTCCAGGACCAGAGGTTGTGCTGCTTGTAGGGGCAGAGGTTGTGCTGGTTGTAGGGGCAGAGGTTATGCTAGTTGTAGGAGCAGAGATTGTGCTGGTGGTAGGAACAGGGCTGGGAGTATTTCCAGGACCAGAGGTTGTGCTGGCTGGAGAGGCAGAGGTTGTTCTGGTTGTAGGAGCAGAGGTTGTTCTGGCTGTAGGAGCAGAGGTTGTGCTGGTTGTATGGGCATAGGTTGTACTGGTCTGTGGAGTGGAGGTTGTGCTGGTTGTCACCAAAGTGGTTGTCCTGGATTTCTGCCAAGAGGAGGTGCTCTGAGTTGGGCTGGTGGCTCTCCCACTAGGGGTGCTAGGAGCTGTCACAGGTGTGGAGGTCACGGGGCAGCCTTTGGGGGTCTCGCAGCAGAGCACACGCACCTCGTAGTTGAGGCACATCTTGAAGGGTCCCTGCTGGTCCTGGTTCCGGCACACCAGGCCCTCTTCCCGGCTGCACTGCACCACCTGGCCCAGGTGTTCGATGCTCACCTCTGGGTGGCTCTTGGCTCGGCACTGGAGCCTGGTGATCTCCTCAGGTCGGCGGCAGATTTTTTCCCCACTCCTGATGATGTTGTTGTAGGTTTCCTTGTCTCCACCATGGGGTCCGGGGGACGGGAAGTCCACGTCGAACCACGTTGTCCAGGTGCACCGGGGATGACAGTTTCTGGTGACTGGTGTGGTGTGGGTGCCCTGTGTGACGCTGGTTGCTGTGGGCCCACCCCTGGAGGTTGCCGTGGGTTGCTCTGTGGAGGCCGAGGGCATGTGTGTGGTGAAGGTGGTCTGGGTCTGAGCTCCGGTTGGATGTGGAGTCGGCCGTGTCGTTGCGACGGTCTTTGGCGGTCTGGTGATGTCTCTGCACACGTTCACCGTCTCGCAACACTGGATGCGGATCTCATAGTTGTAGCAGATGGGTGGGAGCTGGTTCTTGTTCAGGCAAATCAGCCCCTCTGTGTGGCTGCAGATGACGTCCTGCCCCAGGTCTGCCAGCGGCGTGTTGGGGAAGCTCTCTGCCCGGCACTGCACGCTTCGAGGACTTTCACAGAATGTGTATCCTTCGTCTCTCAAATTTTGAAATGTGTCAAAATCTCCACCATTTATTCCAGGAGCAGGGTAGCTGCCATCAATCCACTCGGTCCAGGTGCAAAGCTCCTGCAGGCAGGAGGATGTGCTGGGCTCCGTGGGGGTGGGCTTGCTGGAGACCACAGAGGTCCCCGGGGCCGTGGTCGACATGGATGATGTTGATGTTGCCGGCACTGGCGGAGGGCTGGGAGTTGAGAAAGTTTTTTTGACAGAGGTAGCGGTACCTGGGGCAGGTGTCGTCCTGGCTGTAGAGAGAGACACGGTGCCAGGTGTGCTGCTGGGGGCTGAGGAGCCTGAGGCCTGGGTTTCAGTGGTCTTGGAGGTTGTTGAAGGAGTGGTCTGGGCTGGACTGCTAGAGGTGGAGCCAGGTGTGGAGGTCATGTGGCAGCCTCTGGGGGTCTCGCAGCAGAGCACACGCACCTCGTAGTTGAGGCACATCTTGAAGGGTCCCTGCTGGTCCTGGTTCCGGCACACCAGGCCCTCTTCCCGGCTGCACTGCACCACCTGGCCCAGGTGTTCGATGCTCACCTCTGGGTGGCTCTTGGCTCGGCACTGGAGCCTGGTGATCTCCTCAGGTCGGCGGCAGATTTTTTCCCCACTCCTGATGATGTTGTTGTAGGTTTCCTTGTCTCCACCATGGGGTCCGGGGGACGGGAAGTCCACGTCGAACCACTTTGTCCAGGTGCACCGGGGATGACAGTTTCTGGTGACTAGTGTGGTGTGGGTGCCCTGTGTGACGCTGGTTGCTGTGGGCCCACCCCTGGAGGTTGCCGTGGGTTGCTCTGTGGAGGCCGAGGGCATGTGTGTGGTGAAGGTGGTCTGGGTCTGAGCTCCGGTTGGATGTGGAGTCGGCCGTGTCGTTGCGACGGTCTTTGGCAGTCTGGTGATGTCTCTGCACACGTTCACCGTCTCGCAACACTGGATGCGGATCTCATAGTTGTAGCAGATGGGTGGGAGCTGGTTCTTGTTCAGGCAAATCAGCCCCTCTGTGTGGCTGCAGATGACGTCCTGCCCCAGGTCTGCCAGCGGCGTGTTGGGGAAGCTCTCTGCCCGGCACTGCACGCTTCGAGGACTTTCACAGAATGTGTATCCTTCGTCTCTCAAATTTTGAAATGTGTCAAAATCTCCACCATTTATTCCAGGAGCAGGGTAGCTGCCATCGATCCACTCGGTCCAGGTGCAAAGCTCCTGCAGGCAGGAGGATGTGCTGGGCTCCGTGGGGGTGGGCTTGCTGGAGACCACAGAGGTCCCCGGGGCCGTGGTCGACATGGATGATGTTGATGTTGCCGGCACTGGCGGAGGGCTGGGAGTTGAGAAAGTTTTTTTGACAGAGGTAGCGGTACCTGGGGCAGGTGTCGTCCTGGCTGTAGAGAGAGACACGGTGCCAGGTGTGCTGCTGGGAGCTGAGGAGCCTGAGGCCCGGGTTTCAGTGGTCTTGGAGGTAGTTGGAGGAGTGGTCTGGGCTGGACTGCTAGAGGTGGAGCAGGGTAGGGGCGTGCAGCACTGGACCCTGATCTGGTAGTTGTAGCAGAGCCCCGATGCCTGCTCCCTGTTACGACAGGTCAGCCCCACATCCGGGCTGCACTGCACACGCTGCCCCAGGGCTCGGAGCGGCACTCCGGGGGCGTCCTCAGCTCGGCACTCCACCGACCTGGGTGATTCGCACACCCGGTACCCATGGGCGCGGAGGTTCTCCAGTGTGTCGAAGTCACCGCTGTCCGTGCCCCGTCCAGGGCGGCTGACATCCATCCATGGCGACCACAGGCACTTTTCCCCACAGACCGGCGGCAGTGAGGCAGAGGCTGTGGGCAGCCTCGTCCTGGGAGAAGTGCCTGCTGTGGTGGGCCAGGCGCTGCTCGGAGGGCCTGTGTGCGCGCTGCTTGGGCCATTGCTGGGGGTGTGCGTGGAGCTCACGACTGTGGGCAGAAGAGAAGGCAGCTGAGCATGAGAGGCCCGCACTTGGGGGCCGCCCGCCCCTCCCTGCGGCTCTGTCACCGGTCTGGAGCTGCGCCAGCAGGTCTGTCTTCCTGTCCCCACCCGCGGTCCCTGCTCAGAACCCACATGAGCGGCACAGGTTCTGAAGAGCCAGGCGAACCGACTGAGTTTTAGGGAAGTGGCTCCCAGGCCATGCCCTGAGCAGGGTCCACACATCTGTGCCCCAGAACACGTGAGTTCCAGAGCTTTCTACTCTCAGAGAAGCTCAGATGATGCCTTGGGGCCCTGAGACATCCCCCAGAAGAGGGCGAGGACATGGGGGTACCTGAGCCCTGAGCATTGTGAGGCAAGTGATAGCCATGCATCCCCGGGGCCAGCCTGGGCTGCCAGACCCCTGACACCCCAATGAGGCCAGGCCCGGGGGCTGCTGAGGGCAGGACTTGGACGCCAGGCCTGCTGGGGTGACTTGGAGGCCAGGCCCTCCCCACTGCAGGTGGCTGGTGGGGAAACAGCAGGTCATCCCCGAGCCCGACTCCCTGCTCCTCGATCCCTTCTTGATCCTCAGGGGCTGCCGCCCATGCCCAGAGCTGCTGTGACCTCAGCGTCCAGCAAGGGCAGCTGTGCCAGGCAGTGGGAGGGGGCTCACCCTGGGGCTCCTCGGCCACATTTGCCTTACCAAGCGGGGGTGTGGAGAAGGAGAAGGTGGTTGGGGGGACAGGGGTGGTGGGGCTGCAGGGGTAGACCCTCCTCTCAATGGTGCCGTTGGCCCCGCAGCGGGCGGAGATGCAGCCACCCGTGCCATCCGTCGTGTGGTAGATGACGTCCCCTGGGTGGAAGCGCTGTCCATTGTAGGTGCAGACACAGGCTATGGGGACGGAGGGCCCAGGCCCGTCAGAGGCTGGGCGCAGACAGAGACCCCCGGACCCCAGCCCCAGGGGCTGCCGGCCGCTCACCCTCAGCTTTGTAGGTGCACTCCACGCCGCGCTCCGTACAAAGGCTGGAGACAAGGAAGAAGGGCAGGCCGATGCGTGGGGGCGGCCGTGTGCCTTCCACGGGCATCCCATGCTACCAACGGCGGGCAGGGAGCAGCTCCGACAGGGGTGGAGTTCCCTGGGAACTGCATTGCACCCCCAGACTGGGGGACAGGAGGCCGGCCCCACCTGGGTCCCAGCAGTTGTCTCTCCAGCGTCAGCCCAAGGTCCCTCCCTCGTGGGGCCCCTCCAGTCGGGGGTCAGGGGAGGTGGGTGCCAGAGTGGAGCCATTACTTTCCAGGGGTGATTTTAATGGGCATCCTTCCGGTGGGGACCCTAGGGCTCCATCTCGGCCCAGCTTCCCCCTGCCGCCCCCTGAGCCCCTCGAGCCTGCTCCCCAGAGGTTGTGCTGGTTTTCTGCCCAGAGGAGCCCTACACCCAGTCCCGCCTCTGGGACTCAGGACATGGGGGTGCTGGTCCCTGAGAAGCTGATGTCACAGATGCCTGGGCCAGGACAGGACCCAAGCTTCAACTCCAGTAACGGGGAGGTCCCCAGCCCTGCCGCTCCCAGCCCCACCCAAAGCCCAGGCCGTGGTCAAATTCCCCTGCATGCTGCAGGCTCCATATTCCTCCCCCCAAAGGACTCACCAGGACTGGCAGTTCTTGTCCGAGGGCACCACTGCACCTGGCCGGTAGGACTTCCCATGGACGTGGCACCGTGGTGGCAGAGGCGGGGTTGGGCAGGTGGCCACACACTGCATCTTGTCCTCATCAAAGATGGGAGCCTCTGGTGGGCACTTGGGGTAGCAGCCTGTGGGCCAAAGAGGCCAGAGTCACAACCAGACCGAGTGTCGTCCACCTCGCTCTGGAGGGCTCCGCCCAGCCCCCAAGCAGCGGGCCTCGCCGACAGCACCAGAATGTGCTGGAAGCTGGGGCCACAGAGGCTCCTCGAGGGGCCAGGAGAAGGCCACAGGCGGCGGAGCCCAGGCCACCCTCCGACCGGCCCCAGCCCACCTTCCAGGCCCCGGACGTCCCGCAGGCAGTCTCCACGGGGGTTCCGGCAGGTGCGCAGGCAGGGCACCCCGCAGGGCTGGTAGTGCCACTCGCACTGGCCTTCGGGGTTGTAGTAGTCGCAGAACAGAGCTGCAGGGAGGAAGGAAGGGCTCGGTGGGGTCCCAGGAACTCACTCGCAGAGGCCCCGCACCCCAGGGCTGTTCTAAAGCCGCTTCCCTCCCCTGCACCTCCCGGCCATCACAAGATGGGGACAGGGGAGGGTGGGCCAGATCGGGACCCCCCAATTATCAGGGTGCCACGGAGGCTGCCACCAGAGTGGGGTCTCCAGTCAGAGCAGATCCAGCAGTGCCCGTTCCCGGCAAGGCTCCGTGTGGGCTAGAGCTGGGCAGCTCTGCTGACCCCACTGCCCAGAACGTTCTACCACGCCAGCGACCCGTCAGCCACGCCCTCCTCCCTAGAGCTGGGCAGCTCTGCTGAACCCTCTGCCCAACCATGCCAGGGACCCCTCCGTCAGCCACGCCCTCCTCCCTAGAGCTGGGCAGCTCTGCTGAACCCTCTGCCCAACCATGCCAGGGACCCCTCCATCAGCCACGCCCTCCTCTCTAGAGCTGGGCAACTCTGCTGACCCCTCTGCCCAGAATGTTCTACCATGCCAGCGACCCCTCTGTCAGCCACGCCCTCCTCTCTAGAGCTGGGCAGCTCTGCTGACCCCTCTGCCCAGAACGTTCTACCATGCCAGGGACCCCTCTGTCAGCCACGCCCTCCTCTCTGGGCCCAGGTGTTTCTGTTTATTTGGAAACCTTCCCCACCCGCCCCACACACCCCACGCATCAGCGGCGAGTGTGGTGGGGCACACGCTGCCGGCGCTTCCTGTTCTTCCCCAGGTGCCCACTCGCACTCACGGCAGATGCTCGGGGTCCGCCAGGACACACACAGGCCTACTTCATGGCAGGCCTGGGCGTAGGCGGCCACAGCCGTGCAGAAGCACTCGCAGTCACCCCCGGAGTCGCAGGCGCACGCGTCGTTCACGCAGGCCTCGTAGTACCTGGCCGGCTCCACCTGAGGGAGACGGGGCTTCAGGTTCCAGGGACCCCCCCACCACCCCGCGGGCTCTTGGGGACCGGGCCCATGCTGGCACATTGACCGGGGCCGAGTTCCAGTGGAGCTCAGGGAGGGCGAATGCCCATCCCCAAGTGGCCGGCTGGGCCCATCTGGATATCCACAGTGCCTGGGGCTTCCTCGGCAGCCCTTGGGGTTAACACCCCCCAGGGCCCCGAAACCATAGCTGACAGGTGTCAGAGCTGGAAGCCCAGCCCCTCTAGGCGAGTCCATACCAGCGCCAGTCCCAGCAGCCCACACCCTTGGTTGGCAGCTGTCTCCCAGACCCCATTCCCTTCTCCCTTCTGGGGGCTCCTTGGGTCACCATGACCCCCTTGGGCCCAGAGAAACGCCCCCCGGCCAGCATACGTGTGCGTGGCAGGCGGCGAAGGTGGGGCCGTGGAGGATGCTGCACTGCTTCTGGGCCCAGGACTTGCGGAAGGGGTTGGCCGTGCAGGGGTCCTTGGGCGCCAGGGCATCTGGGCAGGAGGGGGAGAGCTTCCAGCTGTTCCCAAACTCCAGCACGTCCCCCACCACAGACCGGCTCCGCGTGGCAAAGTCATTAACGGCGATGTCGTCGAAGTTCCCACACAGGCCGCAGACCCTGCCCTGCAGAGGCACCGGGAGAGGTGGAGGTGGGTGCAGCAAACCGAGAAGGCCAGAGCCACCCTGCCCCTAGGCCGCCTCCTCCCACCCAGGGCCACCCTGCCCTGCGGCCGCCTCCTCCCACCCAGGTGGCCAACAGCGACCACAGGTGCTGCTTCCTCCTTCCCACCTCCAGCTACACCTGGGGAGGCCCCGGGCAGTGCAGCTGAGCACCGAGGGCCGGAGCCAGAGGCAAGCCCCTCCTGGAGAAAAAGAAGCTGACGTGGCCTCGAAGGACCCGCCTAAGTCCTGACCCCGGCGCCTATGCATGGCACCTCACTGGGAGATGGGGTCTTGCAGACTGAGGTAATGAGTGGGTCCTGAATCCAATGCCTGGTGTCCTTATAAAAGAGGGAAACTTAGACCCAGTCACAGGGAGGAGGCTGCGTGAAGACGGGGCGGCGATCCAAGTGATGTGGCCACAGCCAAGGAGCGCTGGGGACCCCGGCAGATGCAAGGGGCCAAAAGGAGCCCCCCAGAGCCTTCTGAAAGAGTTCGGCCCTGTGGATGCCCTGCTGGACTTCCAGTGTCCAGGCTGCGGGCAAATCCGCCAGGGTGCGGGCCTTTGCTCTAGCCCCAGAACACTGACACCCAGCCAAGGAGTCTCCTGACCCGCTGCCCTTGCCAAGGCTCCGTCCCCCCCACTTCCCACCCCGCTTCCATCTCTGTGTTTCTCTCTGTGTCTCTGTGCCTCTCGTCTCTGCCCACCTGTTCCACGCTCCCCACCTCCAGGTTTCCAGCCGGCCCTGGCCTGGACGAGGGGCGTGGTCTCACCTTGAACTCGGGGCTGAGGTTGATGAAGATGCTGGTCTTCTTGTCCCACAGCAGCACCAGGCCAATGTCGGTGTCCACCACCAGGTAGATGCCCATCTGCCGGATGGTGTATGGCACCTCCTGGCTCTCGTCCGTCCCGATCACCTCCACCTTCCCATGGCTTAGCTTCAGCTCGAAGCCCTGCATGGCAAGGGGTCACTCAGGGCCCCCAGCAAGAACCCCAGCCCACCTGACCAGACGCTGCCATGGGAGCCTCCTGGAGGGCATGCGACCACCCAGCCTCGCTCACCCCCAGGAAAATCTTGATGGCCTTGGAGCAGGTGGTCCCTGTGGTGCCGCAGGGGACGTTCTCGGTGACAACACGAAAGGAGTCCTGGGTGCTGTCTTTCCCGCCACAGTGGTTCTGGGGAAGCAGAGGCCATCAAGGACCAGGCAGGCCCTGCCCTCCTTCCCGCAAGGAGGATGAGGCGGGGACAACCTGTGTGCACCCTGGGGCAGCCGCAGAGAGGCAGTGAGCAGCTTCGGGCCACGGGGGCCGCCGTGAGGACCCCAAACGCGCCGGCTCACCTGCACCAGCGTGTACTCGCAGTCTCCGTTGAAGCTGTAGCTCTGTCCGTCGAAGGTGAGGTAGTGGCCGTCCCCGTACACGGCGCAGGTGGCCAGGCAGGGGTCATCTGTGCACCGCCACATCCTGCTGTCACAGGTGCTGGGGGACATCTGGGGGTCAGGCTAGAGCACACACAGGGTGCCTGCCTGACTGGGTGCAGCCTTCCTACCCCTGGGGGGACCTGGCACCATAGACACGCGCCCACTGGGCCTCCCTGGCTGGGGCTGCTGGTGGCGTCCAGCCCTGAGTCTGTGCCCTGCGTTTTCCCGGGACCCCTGTGCTGGGGGCTCGCCCGTCTTTAAGGAGGGCCTCTGGTTTCCTGGGCCTGACACCCCCCATGGGCTTTGAGCCCCCGGCATACCAGGTGTTGCAGCCCACCCGGATGGTCTGGCCGGCCCGGTAGCTGGCCTCATTGTGCACGCAGGGGCAGTCCTCCGCAGTGATGCAGCCGCCCTCGCCGTCCGCCACCAGCCCGTCGGGGCACACGCAGCCAGGCACACACTGGGGGCTGTACTGCAGGGCCAGCAGACACCACTGAGTGATGGGGCAGGGCACGGGGCCTGCCAGGTCCTCCCAGGGACAGCTCACCCACACCACAGTGGAGGGACCACAGGACCAGGGAGTCCGGGAGCGCATGGGCAGGGGTCCTCTGGGACGTGGGGCAGCCCATGGCCTAATGTGTCAGAGGCTCACCACTGCCCACCCTGGGGACAGGCGCCCTTAGCAGGCAGGGGCAGATGGAGGGTCTGTCATTGGGGAGTCCTCAGGGACTTACACAGGTCATGTCCAGTGTGTGGCAGCTCTTCTGACAGCCAGCCCCTGTGTCCCCGGGCGTGGCATTTCGGCAGTCAAAGAACACCATGGGCGCAGCACACACTGGGGAGGGAGGGGCCGTCAGGGGGCCAGCCACAGGCTGCTGCGGTGCCTCAAACATGTGTTCAGGGAGGACGTGTCTGTGCCATGTGCGTGCACATTGAGTGGGTGCGTGTGCATGAGTGGGTGTGAGTGCATGTGCATGAGTGGGTGTGTGAGCGTGTCCATGAGTGGGTGTGAGCGTTGCATAACTGGGTGTGAGTGTGTGTGCATGAGTATGAGTGTGTGTGCATGAGTGGGTGTGTGTGCATGTGTGGGTGTGTGTGCATGTGCATGAGTGGATGTGTGAGCGTGTCCATAAGTGGGTGTGTGAGTGCGTGTGCATGAGTGGGTGTGGTGTGCATGAGTGGGTGGGTGTGAGTGCGTGTGCATGTGGGTGTGTGAGCGTGTGCATGAGTGTGGGTGCATGACGGTGTGTGTGCATGAGTGGGTGTGTGAGCGTGTGCATGAGTATGAATGGGTGTGTGTGCATGAGTGGGTGTGAGTGCGTGTGTATGAGTGGGTGTGTGAGTGTTGCATAAGTGGGTGTGAGTGCGTGTGCATGAGGGTGTGAATGCGTGTGCATGAGTGGGTGTGTGAGCATGTGCATGAGTGTGAGTGTGTGCATGAATGGGTGTGTGTGCATGAGTGGGCGTGTCAGCGTGTGCATGAGTGGGTGTGTGAGCATGTGCATGAGTGGGTGTGAGTGTCATATGTGCGCCCCACACCCTCCCTTCTTCCCCCTTGCTGCCTAGAGGGCACAAACCATGCCTGACACTGAGCAGCTGATGGACAACCACCAGCCCCGCTGACTTGTGGTGGGGCTAACCCTGAAGCCATTTTTCAGGATTTCTTATAGAGATGAGGAGGCTGGGGGCCACAGTGCCTCCTTTCTGGCACTCACCTGGGGCGGGGGCTTGGCCTCCGATGCAGCTCAGCTTCCCATGTGTGCAGGTGCTGTGAGGAGATGGTGGTCAGAGCCTCAGCCTGGGCCAGGAGACACGAGGGACCCCCCAGTCCACAGCGGGAGCTCTTACCAGATAGCCCCGCTGTCGTGCACCGACTCCCCATTGGGGATCATGGAGCCTCTGTGGTAGCAGGGACAGTTGCTGGCCTGCACACACTTGCCCGTGTCGTCCAGGAAGGTGCCCTTGGGACAGATGCAGCCATCCACGGGGATGAAGCCAACACTGCAGGTGATGTCCCCCTCGCTCAGGGAGCGGCAGGTGGGCTGGCAGGTGCTGACATGGTAGTGGTACGTCATTGACTTGGGGCAAGTGGTCATAGGCTTCGCTGCGGGATGCCAGGAAGAGGGGATTCTCAGGACACACAGCCCGGCAGTGGGCAGCCAGCAGTGAGTGAGCCCAGCCCTCTCGGCTACCCTCCCCTCCCCTCCTCGGCCGGGTCCAAGGCCACACTGACCTGGGCGCTCCTTGCCCTCAAGCCCAGCACAGAGGACGGGGGCCCTTAGAGCAACCTGTGCACACTGGGGGCACCCCAAGACCCGCGGCCACCCAGCGAGGGAAAGGGGCTGGGCTTGGCAGGCACTCACTGCAGACGCCGTCCCTCCAGCCGCCGAGCTGCACGCCCTTGGCGGCACAGGCGTGCACGTAGGAGGACAGCGCGGCGCACAGGCAGTCCTCGCTCCGCTCACAGTTGCAGGTGTCAAACATGCAGTTCTGCAGGGAAGGGGGTCATCGGGGCATCAGAGACCCCAGCCCACACCTGGTGGCCCCCCACGCCCTGCAGGCCACACATCCAGCAGCCAGGGTCCTCCCATCCCAGGTCTTCCTGCCCCCAGGACCCCTCTGTGAGTCCTCACAGGCATCCTGCCCCCTCAGCAGAATTGCTTGGCATGTCATGGAGCAGAACCACTGTGCAGAGCAGGGGTTACTGGGAGAACCAGATCCTTCATCTCTGTGACCCAACAGGTCCAGCCAAGACCAGCTTGCCTCAGACACAGCACATCAGCTCAGCCTTGGCCTAATTCTCATTTGGCCCCTGGGGCCAGGTGGGCAACAAACCCCTGAAGTTTAGCCCCTGGGCCTAGTGTAGGGCTGGAAGTGCAAGAAAAATGCCATAAACATGGTTAACCAATGAGTGAAGGAACGAATGAGGGAATAAGTGAGTGAGTGGATGAGTGAGTGAGTGAATGAGTGGATGAATGAGTGAGTGAATGAGTAGGTGAAGGAATTAGTGAGTAAATGAGTGAATGAGTGAGTGAAGGAATGAATGAGGGAATCAGTGAGTGGATGAGTAAGTGAGTGGATGAGTAATGAGTGGATGAGTGAGTGGGTGAGTGAGTGGATGAATGAGTAGGTGAAGGAATTAGTGAGTCAGTAAATGAGTGAATGAGTGAGTGAAGGAATGAATGAGGGAATGAGCGAGTGAGTGGATGAGTGAGTGAGTGGATGAGTGAGTGGATGAGTGAGTGAGTGAGTGGATGAGTGCGTGAATGAATGAGTAGGTGAAGGAATTAGTGAGTGAGTAAATGAGTGAATGAGTAAAGGAATGAATGAGGGAATCAGTGAGTGGATGAGTGAGTGGATGAGTAATGAGTGGATGAGTGAGTGAGTGGATGAGTGAGTGGGTGAGTGAGTGGATGAATGAGTAGGTGAAGGAATTAGTGAGTCAGTAAATGAGTGAATGAGTGAGTGAAGGAATGAATGAGGGAATGAGCGAGTGAGTGGATGAGTGAGTGGATGAGTGAGTGGATGAGTGAGTGAGTGGATGAGTGGATGAATGAATGAGTAGGTGAAGGAATTAGTGAGTGAGTAAATGAGTGAATGAGTGAGTGAAGGAATGAATGAAGGAATGAGTGAGTGAGTGGGTGAGTGGATGAGTGAGTGAGTGGATGAGTGAGTGAGTGGGTGAGTGAGTGGATGAGTGAGTGAGTAATGAATAAGTGAAGGAATTAGTGAGTGAGTAAATGAGTAAATGAGTGAAGAAATTCGTGAATGAGTGAGTAAATGAGTGAGCGGATGAGTGAATGAGTAAGTAGATGAGTAGGTGAAGGAATTAGTGAGTGGGTAAATGAGTGAATGAGTCAGTGAAGATATGAGTGAATGAATGAGTGAGTGAGTGAGTGAAAGAGCTAGTGGGTGAGTGAGTGAGTGAGTAAGTTAGTGAATGAGTGAGTGAATGGGTGAGTGGGGGGGCGAATGGGTGAACGGGTGAGTGAGTGGGTGAATGGGTGGGTGAGTGGATGAGTGAGTGAATGGGTGAGTGGGCGAGTGAGAGAATGGGTGAGTGGGTAAATGGGTGAATAGGTGAGTGAGTGGGGGGGCAAATGGGTGAATGGGTGAGTGAGTGGGTGAATGGGTGGATGAGTGGGTGAGTGAGTGAATGGGTGAGTGGGTAAATGGGTGAATGGGTGAGTGAGTGGGTGAGTGAATGGGTGAACGGGTGAGTGAGTAGGTGAATGGGTGAGTGTGTGGGTGAGTGGTGAATGTGTGAATGAGTGAATGGGTGGGTGGGGATGTGGGGAATGGAGCTGGACAGACAGACTGGGTTCCAGCCCCTGGTGCCCATCACAGCCTAGAAAGGTTAGTCCTGCCTGCTGAGCCCACCAGTGCCCTCCCAGCCCTCCTGGAGGCAGCCGTGAGGCTCAGTGGCTGGAGCCCCACCGGGCCAAGAGGCGGCAGATGTTACCGAGTAGTAGGTTCCCGGCTTCACGGCAGCATGGCACCGGCCGAAGGGGCCGTCGGCATCGGTCAGCTGCGAGCACCAGTGCTGAGCATACTTCTCTGTGGACAGAGGAGGGATAGGGTTAGGATTAAGATCAGGCAGCACACTCATCCCACCCAGCTTGGCCTCTGGTGTGGGGTTTGGGTGGCCAGCTTCTCTGGGCAGTCTGATGTTGGGCCCTTCATCCTGCTACACACTCAGCCTGGGTGGTGTGGCGCCCTCCCCGAGGAAAAGCTCCCCCAAACGCAGGGTACAACATCCAGAACCGAGGCTTCTCTCGTTTCCTGCATGTCCCACCCAGCCCCTCACAGCCTCTCACAGTGCCGCCTTCCAGGGACGCTAGTGACCACCACTGTGGACAGACAAACCAAGGCCCTTCTGGCCCCTCCACTGGGCTCACTGGACCCTGGCTTCCCAGGCTGCAGGAAGAAGGCCAGAACCAGCAAATGGGATCCCACCTCCCCACGGCTGGCGCCCAAGCTCTGAAGGCGAAGTGAATGACTGAGTGAGTGAGTGAGTGAGTGAGTGAGTGAGTGAGTGAGTGAATGAGTGGATGAGTGAGTGAGTGAGTAGGTGAGTGGGTGAATGGGTGAGCGAGTGGGTGAGTGGGTGAATGGGTGAGTGAGTGAATGGGTGAGTGGGTGAGTGAGTGTTGAGTGGGTGAGTGGGTGAGTGAGTGAATGGATGAGTGGGTGAGTGGGTGAATGGGTGAGTGGGTGAGTGAGTGTTGAGTGGGTGAGTGGGTGAATGGGTGAGTTAGTGAATGGATGAGTGGGTGAGTGAGTGGGTGAGTGGGTGAATGGGTGAGTGAGTGGGTGAGTGGGTGAATGGGTGAGTGAGTGAGTGGGTGAGTGGGTGAGTGAGTTCGTGAGTGGGTGAATGGGTGAGTGAGTGGGTGAGTGGGTGAATGGGTAAGTGAGTGGGTGAGTGGGTGGTTGAGTAGGTGAGTGAGTGGGTGAGTGGGTGAGTGAGTGGGTGAATGGGTGAATGGGTGAGTGAGTGGGTGAGTGGGTGAGTGAGGGGGTGAATGGGTGAATGGGTGAGTGGGTGAGTAAGTTGAGTGAGTGAGTGAGGTGAGTGAGTGGATGAATGGGTGAATGGGTGAGTGAATGGGTGAGTGGGTGAGTGGGTGAGTGAGTGAGTGAATGCGTGAGTGAGTGAGTGAGGTGACTGAGTGAGTAGGTGAGTGAGTGGGTGAATGGGTGAGTGAGTGGGTGAGTGAGTGGGTGAGTGGATGAGTGGGTGAATGAGTGAATGGGTGAGTGGGTGAGTGAGTAAGTTGAGTGAGTGAGTAAGTGAGTGAGTGTGTGAATGGGTGAATGGATGAGTGAGTGGGTGAGTGGGTGAGTGAGTGAGGTGAATGAGTGGGCGAATGGGTGAGTGAATGGTTGAGTCGGTGAGTGTGTGAATGGGTGAGTCGGTGAGTGGGTGAATGGGTGAGTCGGTGAGTGGGTGAGTGAGTGGGTGAATGGGTGAATGGGTGAGTGGGTGAGTGAGTAGGTGAGTGGGGTGAATGGGTGAGTGGGTGAGTGAGTAGGTGAGTGGGTGAATGGGTGAGTGGGTGAGTGAGTGAGGTGAGTGAGTGGGTGAGTGAGTGAGGTGAGTGAGTGGGCGAATAGGCGAGTGAATGGTTGAGTCAGTCAGTGGGTGAGTGAGTGGGTGAATGGGTGAATGGGTGAGTGGGTGAGTGAGTGAGTGAATAGGTGAGTGGGTGAGTGGGTGAGTGGGCGAGTGAGTGAATGGGTGAATGGGTGAGTGAATGGTTGAGTCAGTGAGTGGGTGAGTGAGTGGGTGAGTGGGTGAATGGGTGAGTTGGTGAGTGGGTGAGTGAGTGGGTGAATGGGTGAATGGGTGAGTGGGTGAGTGAGTAGGTGAGTGGGTGAATGGGTGAGTGAGTGAGTGAGTAGGTGAGTGGGTGAGTGGGTGAGTGGGTGAGTGGGCGAGTGAGTGAATGGGTGAATGGGTGAGTGAATGGTTGAGTCGGTGAGTGGGTGAGTGAGTGGGTGAGTGGGTGAATGGGTGAGTCGGTGAGTGGGTGAGTGAGTGGGTGAATGGGTGAATGGGTGAGTGGGTGAGTAGGTGAGTGGGTGAATGGGTGAGTGGGTGAGTGGGCGCGTGAGTGAGGTGAGTGAGTGGGCAAATGGGTGAGTGAATGGTTGAGTCAGTGAGTGAGGTGAGTGAGTGGGTGAATGGGTGAATGGGTGAGTGAGTGGGTGAGTGGGTGAGTGAGTGAATGGGTGAATGGGTGAGTGGGTGAGTGAGTGAATGGGTGAATGGGTGAGTGGGTGAGTGAGTGAATGGGTGAATGGGTGAGTGGGTGAGTGAGTGAATGGGTGAATGGGTGAGTGGGTGAGTGAGTGAATGGGTGAATGGGTGAGTGGGTGAGTGAGTGAGGTGAGTGAGTGAGTGGGTGAGTGAGTGAGGTGAGTGAGTGGGCAATGGGTGAGTGAATGGTTGAGTCGGTGAGTGGGTGAGTGAGTGGGTGAATGGGTGAATGGGTGAGTGGGTGAGTGAGTAGGTGAGTGGGTGAATGGGTGAGTGGGTGAGTGGGCGAGTGAGTGAATGGGTGAATGGGTGAGTGAATGGTTGAGTCGGTGAGTGGGTGAGTGAGTGGGTGAGTGGGTGAATGGGTGAGTCGGTGAGTGGGTGAGTGAGTGGGTGAATGGGTGAGTGGGTGAGTGAGTAGGTGAGTGGGTGAAAGCGTGAGTGGGTGAGTGGGCGAGTGAGTGAGGTGAGTGAGTGAGCGAATGGGTGAGTGAATAGTTGAGTCAGTGAGTGAGGTGAGTGAGTGGGTGAATGGGTGAATGGGTGAGTGAGTGGGTGAGTGGGTGAGTGAGTGAATGGGTGAATGGGTGAGTGAGTGAGGTGAGTGAGTGAGTGGGTGAGTGAGTGAGGTGAGTGAGTGGGCGAATGGGTGAGTGAATGGTTGAGTCGGCGAGTGAGGTGGGTGAGTGGGTGAGTGGGTGAGTGAGTGAATGGGTGAATGGGTGAGTGAGTGAGGTGAGTGAGTGAGTGGGTGAGTGAGTGAGGTGAGTGAGTGAGTGGGTGAGTGAGTGAGGTGAGTGGGCGAATGGGTGAGTGAATGGTTGAGTCGGCGAGTGAGGTGGGTGAGTGGGTGAGTGGGTGAGTGAGTGAATGGGTGAACGGGTGGGTGAGTGGGTGAATCCATTCCCCACGTCCCCACCACTCCACCCTGTGCAGGGGTAGGCGGTCAGGGCGGATGTTGACCAACAGAGACTTGTACCCTTTCTTTGACCCTGAAGCAGATGCCCCACATTCCTGAAGCTCCACATAAGCTGGGTTGGGCGCCCACCATGAGCCTGTCCTTGGGCCCCTTCGTGAGCCACCCCACCCGGCTCACAGGCACACGCAGGGCCGGCCTCGCTGCCTGCAGTGCCAAATGGAAGCGGGTGAACCAGCGCCAGGCGGCCAGCACAGAGGCGAGCCGTGGACACCCGTACCATTCTCCACGCTCAGAGAGCAGGGGTCCTCGAAGCTGTTCCTGATGTTGGGGCAGGCGGCCTGGGTCTTGAAGGTGTTGAAGAAGGCCGCAGCGGTGGCCTCCACCACCCCACTGAGGGTCCGGAAGTCATCGGCCTGGATGCTGTTGAAGTTCCCACAGAGACCTGGGGGCGGGTTAGGCAGGTTGAGGACCATGCGCCCTGGCCAGAGTGGGTGGGCTCCAAGCCCAGAAGGCAGCCCTCTTACCGCAGGTCTGCCCACGGAGCTTGGGCGCCAGCTGCATGAACAGCTGCATGGTGGGCACCAGCTGCAGGTTCAGCTGCAGGCCCAGGCTGGTCTGGGCGATGATGAAGAAGGTTGAGGGTCTGAAGATGGTGACGTTGGCTGGGGACACAAAGGACAAGGGTTTTGCTGGGGGCTGTGGGGCGGGACCCCAGGCAGCCCCGGGGTGGGGAAGAAGCCACTGCCCTCACCTGCAGAGATGGGCAGCTGGGTGTAGATCTGGTTCAGGAACACTTCCCCACTGGCCTTGATCACCACCACCTGAGGGCAGCCAGACAGATGTGTGAGCGCGGGGCAGGCTTGCGGCACCTCAGCCCCGCGGAGGCTGTGAAATGTGCCTGCAGGTGCCTAGGAGGCCTTTCCCTGCAGCTGCGGCTCCTACAAGGTGGCCTTGTGCTCGCCTGATTTTCTGAATTTTCTGCGAGGACCATGCCTTTCATTCTTCAGTGAAAACCAAGGTTATTAACTAAACATAAATTGACTTCAGTGGAGAAGCCATGCTGGCCGCAGGTGCGCCCAGTCCCTCCTTCCTGGGGCCCCTTGGGTCAGGTATGGCGGCCCGGGAGGCCCGGCCCTGAGCTTCTCCCTTTAGGGACAGTCACGTGGACCCATAAGTAATGGACACAGCCAGTGTTGCCAGAGGGTCCCCGCCTCTCGCTGTTCATGCCAGGGATGAAGGGCTTGGGCAGAGGTGACTTGCAGAAGAGACAGGCCCCTTCCCTCTTCCCGGGGTTTGCCCTGCCAGGCTCCACTCACCGTCTGCGCCCCATCCAGGCTCAGTGTCACGCTCTTCAGGCAGGTCTCGCTGTCCGTCAGCCCGCACCTGCGCAGCTCAGCCAGTACAGTGAAGGCACTGCTGTCACAGGGCTGCGGAACACGACACACCAGGGGTCCTCACACTCCATCCAACGCCCAGCCCACCTGGCCCTGCCAGTCCACCCGGCTGTGCTCCTCTCCCTCACTAGAAAACCCCACTCCACCATCCCAGTCCCCGAGAGGGAGGTGTGCTAGGAGGCCCCCAGGTGTGGACACCCAGGCACACACAGAAATCTGCATGCACCCTGAGGAGGCCACACTCTGCAACGCCAACTATAGGACCCTCTGGGAAAGACAGCACTCAGAAGGTGCAAATGCCAGCAGCTGCCAGGGGCTGGGCGAGAGAGGGGTGAGGAGCTCCAAGGGGTTTCAGGGCAGTGGAGCTGTCTGCGTGAAACTTCCTGGCAGGAACAAGACACTGCACATCTGTCTTAAACGTGGAATTTCACCACCACGAGGGTCGCTGATGTCAACCATGACCTGGGAGGTGAGGGTACCAGTGCAGCCTCCACCCCAGCGCAGGGTATCATCATAGGGAAACTGTGTATTGGGTGCAGGGTCTCATTGTGGGAGACTGTGTGTTGGGTGCAGGGTCTCATCGGGGGAGACTATGTGTTGAGTGCAAGGTCTCATCTTGGGGAGACTGTGTTGGGTGCAGAGTCTCATCTGGGAGAGACTGTGTGTTGGGTGCAGGGTCTCATCTTGGGGAGACTGTGTGTTGGGTGCAGGGTCTCATCGTGCAGAGACTGTGTGTTGGGTGCAGGGTCTCACCATAGGGAGACTGTGTGTTGGGTGCAGGGTCTCATCGTGGGAGACTGTGTGTTGGGTGCAGGGTCTCATCTTGGGGAGACTGTGTGTTGGGTGCAGGGTCTCATCTTGGGGAGACTGTGTGTTGGGTGCAGGGTCTCATCGTGCAGAGACTGTGTGTCGGGTGCAGGGTCTCATCTTGGGGAGACTGTGTGTTGGGTGCAGGGTCTCATCTTGGGGAGACTGTGTGTTGGGTGCAGGGTCTCATCGTGCAGAGACTGTGTGTCGGGTGCAGGGTCTCATCTTGGGGAGACTGTGTGTTGGGTGCAGGGTCTCATCGTGGAGAAACTGTGTGTTGGGTGCAGGGTCTCATCGTGGGAGACTGTGTGTTGGGTGCAGGGTCTCATCTTGGGGAGACTGTGTGTTGGGTGCAGGGTCTCATCTTGGGGAGACTGTGTGTTGGGTGCAGGGTCTCATCGTGCAGAGACTGTGTGTCGGGTGCAGGGTCTCATCTTGGGGAGACTGTGTGTTGGGTGCAGGGTCTCATCTTGGGGAGACTGTGTGTTGGGTGCAGGGTCTCATCGTGCAGAGACTGTGTGTCGGGTGCAGGGTCTCATCTTGGGGAGACTGTGTGTTGGGTGCAGGGTCTCATCGTGGAGAGACTGTGTGTTGGGTGCAGGGTCTCATCGTGGAGAGACTGTGTGTTGGGTGTAGGGTCTCATCGTGGGAGACTGTGTGTTGGGTGCAGGCTCTCATCGTGCAGAGACTGTGTGTCGGGTGCAGGGTCTCATTGTGGAGAGACTGTGTGTCGGGTGCAGGGTCTCACCATAGGGAGACTGTGTGTTGGGTGCAGGGTCTCATCGTGGGAGACTGTGTGTTGGGTGCAGGGTCTCATCGTGCAGAGACTGTATGTTGGGTGCAGGGTCTCACCATAGGGAGACTGTGTGTTGGGTGCAGGGTCTCATCTTGGGTAGACTGTGTGTTGGGTGCAGGGTCTCACCATAGGGAGACTGTGTGTTGGGTGCAGGGTCTCCTCTGGGAGAGACTGTGTGTTTGGTGCAGGGTCTCATCGTGGGGACACTGTGTGTTGGGGCAGGAGTACTTTGTGCTCAATTTCCTTGTTAACCTAAAACTATTCTCAAGAGTAAAGTCTGTTAAATAAACAGCCCAAGGTGCAGAGGGCCCAGTGCTGGGTGAGGCCCAATGCTGGGTGGGTGCTGGAGGCTCTGATCTGCAGCCTTCATGGCCCTGTGAGGACTAGCGCTGGGGAGCTGGAGTGCTTCCTTGAGGTCTCAACATCGGGGACCCCCAAGGGTGACCCCAGGGGCAGCAGTGACATGCAGCCAAGCTGGGGGAGCCTGTGGGAGGCTGGCCATGGGCCCCCTCTGTCCGGCGAGCACCCCAGGCAGCCAGGCCGTACCTTGGTCAGCACATAGCTGCAGTCGCCGTGCACCGTGTATTGCTTCCCGTCAAACGTTGAGAAGTGGGCACCTCCAAGCACAGAGCAGGTACCCGGGCATGGAACCTCCTGGCAGCTCCACCGGCCTCCGGAGCAGGTGCTGAGAGCAAGAGATGGTGCCACGTGGGTGCCGGCCCCAGGAGACCAGCCTCCAGCCTCCGCGTCAGGAGGCTGACCGGGTCTCACCCCAGGCCTGCCTACACCGTAGCCCAGACGAGGGAGCCTGCCGGCCTGGGTTGCAACCCCCAGCAGGTCTGTCCCATAGCACATCCTTGGTGGCCTGGAGGGGGGCTGGGACCTACCAGTTGGTGCAGTCTGTGGAGTAGGTGGCCCCTGGGGCATAGGCAGCCCCGTTGTAGACGCAGGCACACTTTGACACAGGGACACAGCCGGTCTGGCCGATGTCGTCAAGCACCGTCCCTGCAGGGGTCAGGCAGGCCTATGACGGGCGCCTGCTGTGTCCACGCAGTGGGCGTTGCAGGGGAACAACATGGCGGCCCCACAGCGAGCTGGGGCCTCAGCCAGCTCCAGGGGCCCAGGACGGGGGCCTCAGCCAGCCTCAGGGGCCCGGGACAGGGGCATCAGCCAGCCTCAGGGGCCCGGGACAGGGGCCTCAGCCAGCCTCAGGGGGCCAGGACAGGGGCCTCAGCCAGCCTCAGGGGCCCAGGACAGGGGCCTCAGCCAGCCTCAGGGGGCCCAGGACAGGATCCTCAGCCAGCCTCAGGGGCCCGGGACAGGGGCCTCAGCCAGCCTCAGGGGCCCGGGACAGGGGCATCAGCCAGCCTCAGGGGGCTCAGGACAGGATCCTCAGCCAGCCTCAGGGGCCCGGGACAGGGGCATCAGCCAGCCTCAGGGGGCCCAGGACAGGATCCTCAGCCAGCCTCAGGGGCCCAGGACAGGGGCCTCAGCCAGCCTCAGGGGCCCGGGACAGGGGCATCAGCCAGCCTCAGGAGGCTCAGGACAGGATTCTCAACCAGCCTTAGGGGCCCAGGAGAGGGGCCTCAGCCAGCCTCAGGGGGCCCAGGACAGGATCCTCAGCCAGCCTCAGCGGCCCAGGACAGGGGCCTCAGTCAGCCTCAGGGGCCCGGGACACTAGGACTGGGGTCCTTCTTCCGAGGCTTGGCCATGGGAGCACAGCCCCCTAGTTGTCGGGGTGCACCTGTGTTTCCCAGGGGCGGGGGAGCCTCACCCTCAGGGCAGAAGCAGCCGGCCACACAGTGGTCCTCACAGGCCCGGGAGTGCTCCTGGTTGGAGCAGGTGTCTGCGCAGGGGGAGCGGCACTCGTGGTACTGCATGTTGTTGGGGCACTTCTGGGCTGCGGGAGGCAGAGAGAGGGCTCACGTCTGCCTGCCCCTGCCCTCCCTGCCAAAGGGGTTGGGGGACAGGGGGCTGGGACACTCACGGCAGAAGTCAGGGCCCCGCCAGTCCTGGGGCAACCCCCCTGCATGGGTGCACTGCCGGGAGTACTCGGCAAGGGTGTGGCAGACGCAGCTGAGCAGGTCGGTGTCTTCACAGAAGCAGAGGTCTTGCCTGCAAGCCTCCAGGTAGCTGCCGACGTCCACCAGGGCCACGCAGCCAGAGAACAGCTGGCCGTGCAGGAGCTCCTCACAGATGCCCTAGGACAAAGGCCACAGCCCGTCTGAGTCCTCGGTGGGGGATCTGGACCGGTTCCCAGGCTCACAACCCCTCCTGCTCAACCTGCTGGGCCCTCTGTTCCCTCCAAGGCTTACAAAGCCAGTGGAGCAGTTCCTCGGGGGTTCAGGGACAGGGTCCTGACACTGGTCCGTGGGGTCGTCCATCTTCTGCAGGTTCCCGAATTCCATGGGTGTCAGCTTGGTGTCTGCGGCAAGCACAGAGGCGGGCTCTGCCTGCAGGTCCCGGTACCCGTCAGCCCAGCACCCGAGCAGCAGAGCCCCCAGGGCCGGGTCCCTGGGGTGGGGTTAGAAGGGCCATCGGTGGCTCCTGCCCCATCTGGATGCCTGAGTTGTCCTGACTGCACCCGCTTGGCCACCCCATGCATGCTGCTGGGACCCTCAGGGGGTCTGGAATGATGGGGAGAAACAGCCCAGGAGGTTGGTGTCCGGGCCACAGGGTGCCGCCAGCTGAGGCCTCAACTGACCCAGGACCCTGGTCTCCTCCTGCCAGGCTGGCTGGAGCCTGAACACCTCCCAGTCCACAGAACCCAGCCAACCCAGCACTGAGCCTGCCTTGCCAAGGGCTGCTGGACACCCAGGCAGACTCAGTTCCCCACAGAGGGACACCCTGTACTCGGGGCTTGTATGGGGCTTCATGGGCCTGGCAGGGGGAGGCAGGGAGTGGGGCCTTGGCTGGTGCAGGTCACATTTGCAAGGCCACTGCCTGGTGGCAGAGACTCAAAGACCAAGAAGGAGGCAGGTCTGTCATTTCAGGAGAGGGCGTGCAGTCAGGGGTCGCCACCCAGAGCAGCCACACAGAGCAAGGGGCCCAATGGGCGATTTGCTCCCTGCCTGCACTCCTGAGACAGGCCGGCGTTGCGGGATCGCGTGTGTGCACGTGTGTGCTGTGCTAGGAGGGAGGGCAGCTGCATCCGTGTATCTGTGCATGTGTGTGCCCGGAGTGTCAGAGGGTGTGTGTGCACACAACACTGAGCCCCCAGGGGACACTGAGGAAGGGGCTGAGGGCGATGTGGGGCCTTACTGTGGGAGAGGAGCTCGCTGACCACGGGCATCCCGTTGAAGTCCCCACAGAGCCCACAGGTCTTGTTGGCGTATTTGGTGTCCAGCTCCAGCTGCAAAGGGAGAGACATCAGACACCCATCCCCACCAGGGGCAGATGGACAGATGAGGCTCGAGCCTGAGATTTCCGAGGAGGGGCCGAGGCCCACGGAAGAGACACCCCCGAAAGCAGTCTCCATCCTGGGGGCACAGACCCCGGGACACCATTGGTGTCTGGGCACCTGTTCTTGCCTGCTGTGTGGGGTGGAGTCTGACCCTGACTGGGCCCAGGGCACCTTCTACCCTCTCCGGAGAGGCTGTGGGAGCAGGCCGGCCCTCGAGGGCTGGAGTTGCACACCGGGACACCCCCACCCAGCCTCACCAGCAGGCTGTCATCGTGGTTCCACATGAGGACAAGGCCCAGCCTGGCCTCCACCTTGGTGTAGCTGCTGCTCTGCTGAATGAGGACCCCAGACTGGCTGAAGGGCAGCAGGACCCTGTGGAGGAAGGCAGGGCTGAGGGGCTGGGAGCGCAGTGAGGAGAGACCCCAGGCAGGGCAGATGCCTGCGGTCGCAAATGTGACACGGTCATCGTGACCGTGAAGTCGCGTCTGGGATGGGGACATTGACCTCTGGAGCTCGGGGGTCACGAGGAGCTAGGAAGGGGCAGAATAAGAGCCTGGGGATCCCAGGAGGGGCAGGTGGGCCACTCGGGGGACGAGGGAGGGCCCATGTCCAGCTCTGCTCTCAGGGGCTTCCTGAGAAATCCACATCCCTCCCAGGACCGCGAAACCCCGCAACCACCCGGAAATGCCACCCCACACGCCGCGTGGCCCCCACCATCCCAGAACCCAGACTCACGGGTGGCCGTTGACCAGGACGGAGCCCTTGGTCAGCTGGATGACCACGCCATCCACCTTCATGAGGACCCTGCTCAGCGTGGGGGCCGCTGACTCCTGGCTGCGGCGTAGCTGGATGTTAAAATCCTCGTAGGCGGCACCGCAGTGCTCGGAGAACACGTAGTTGCAGAGGCCGGGGAAGCGGAAGACGTCGCCGTCGAAGGTCTTGTAGTGGAAGCTGCCCCAGGTGCTGCACACCCGCCCGTTGTGCGCCGGGTTGGAGGCTGCGGTGGAAGCAGCATGGTGTTTGGGGGCGTCGCCCTCATCCTCGCCCTGCACCCCCTGCCTCTGCCCTGTACCTCCTGCCCCTCCCCAGGGTCCTGCAGGAAGTGCTGCTGCCCTGGACGGGGCACCCAGGGGTCCTTCCTGCATCTGGGAAGTCCCAGAAACGTGTGCAGGGAGATGCTGGGCCCTCTGGCTCCAATACCCACCCAGTGTTCACCCGGAAAGCTGGGGCCCCTCTCCACCCGGCACCTCCAGGCCTGAGCGGGGAGCTCAGCAAAGCTATGACCCTTCCCCACCCAGGCCTCCGGGCTCCACTCACCTCGTACCACAGGGATGGTCCTCAGAGATGGGAAGACAGTCGCCCCACGGAGCGGGACCCCTGCGGAGACAGGGGCTGGTAGGATTCACGCACGGCCCCACGTGGGGCGGGGGCTCCGCAGCCAGAGGAGACGTTCCAGAGTCAGCAGGTCCCAGCTCCTGGCTCCGAAGCCAACTCCGGATTCTGCTGCGTGTTGGGCCCCCTCCCACCCACCCACCATCTGCACGTTGTGTACTTGTGACCACACACCCTGCGTTCGGTGACTTTTTCATTCCTCCCGGCTGTCACCAGGAAGAAGTCCCCAGGGGCTGCCAGCTCTCACATGCCCATGGGCCTCAGAACCTGAGTCTGCATCAGCGGCTCAAGACAATCTCTCAGGTGCTGAGATTAGGCCTGTCTGGCCCGATTTGGAGAAATGCAATCTGAGAGTTTGCCTGAAGCCCCCTGCCCTGGCTGCCCTTGCCTGCCCTGCCTCTGCCAGGGCTGCTGGGCCTCCACGGGCTCCCGCTAGCACGAGCCACATGGGGACGGCCGGCGCCAAGGGAGATGCCCGTGTTGCTGAAGCGTCAGGAGGTGAACGGGGGGGACACCAAGGCAGGACCCAGCTCCAGATCCCCGGAGGGTGACCGGCTCCCACGGGACATGGGCACAGCAAATCTGCCCCGCCCTGCAGCTCCTTCAGAGCCTAAGCGCTGCAGGGGGCTGGCCCAAGGAGAGGCAGGTAGTGTGACCGACCAGGGCCATGGATGTGGGGGTGTCCTCCTGTCCCCCCAGGTTTGGTCCTCAGCAGTGGCCAGCTGGGGAGCCACCCTAAGACCAGTGGCCCTAGGGGCCGTGCCACACGGTGGAGGGTGGAATCTGACAGGCTTAGGGTGGGGGCCGGACACTCAGACTCACCGCTGGGCCCCCGGGCGATAGGAGAGAGGGCAGGGTGGTGCTTGTAGCTGGATTCGGAGGAGCCATCCTGGGCATGGCCTGCAGAAAGAGGAGGGGGGCTGAGCCCAGATGCAGGGTGGCTGAGGGGGCTCAGGCTGCGGCCACAGATGCAGCATGGACACCAGAGGGACGGGAGGCCACAGTGCGTGGGGGTGGCCCGTGGCAAGGGCTCTCTCTGTGCTGGGTTGGGGGGGTCCTAGGAGGCCTCTGTCCATGTGAGTCTGAAGTCTGAGCCCAGACCCTCCAGGAGCATCTCCTCAGCCTGGCCCCATGGAGCAGGTGGCGTCAGGACCCTTCGCCCCGATCTGGCATCCCTATCTATTCATTCCCACTCACTGCCAAGCGTGCCAGGCCCTGGCCCCCACGCTGCCACGCTTGGGACCCCTGTCCAGTACAGTGATCCCACTGAGGGGCTGGAGCAGTCAAAGGCATGGGAGGGGTCGGCCCCAAGACCACCTGGAGGACCCTGCCTCCCTACAAGCAGCAGACCCTGCAGGAGGCTGATCTTCAGGGTCCATAGAGACTGTGCTAATGTGCAGAATGTCACCAGATTTCAGCCCGGCCCAGCCCCGCACAGCCCTGCACAGAGCCAGCATAGTGGGACCAGACCACAGCCTCGCACAGCCCTGCACAGAGCCAGCATGGTGGGACCAGACCCCAGCCCCGCACAGCCCTGCACAGAGCCAGCATGGTGGGACCAGCCCCAGCCCCACACAGCCCCGCACAGCCCGTCGCAGAGCCAGCATGGTGGGACCAGCCCCAGCCCCACACAGCCCCACACAGCCCCACACAGCCCCGCACAGAACCAGCATGGTGGGGCCAGACGCCAGCCCTGCACAGCCCTGCACAGAGCCAGCATGGTGGGACCAGACCCCAGCCCCGCACAGCCCTGCATAGAGCCAGCATGGTGGGACCAGACCCCAGCCCCGCACAGCCCCACACAGCCCCACACAGCCCCGCACAGAACCAGCATGGTGGGGCCAGACGCCAGCCCCGCACAGCCCTGCACAGAGCCAGCATGGTGGGACCAGACCCCAGCCCCGCACAGCCCCGCACAGCCCCGCACAGCCCCGCACAGCCCCGCACAGCCCCGCACAGCCCCGCACAGCCCCGCACAGCCCCGCACAGAACCAGCATGGTGGGACCAGACCCCAGCCTCGCACAGCCCCTCACAGCCTCGTACAGCCCCGCACAGCACCCCAGCATGGGGGGACCAGACCCCCCACACAACCCCGCACAGCCCCGCCCAGCACCATCATCGTGGGACTGGACCCCAGCCCCGCACAGCCCCGCACAGCCCCGCACAGCACCAGCATGGTGGGAGGGGCGCCCGGCCCAGCCCAGGACCTGCAGAGAGGGGTCTTAGGGAAAGCTGTGATTCGCCTGCACCCCAGCCCCAGCTTTCCAGTTCCCGCAACTGGCATAGGGGTCCTCAGGCCAGGCTGGGAGACCCCCCTCGCCCTCACACCCTCTGGCCCCAGTGGGGCCCACTGCATCAAATCCGTCAGTGGGCGGAGGGGTGTTAGCATCTGCAAGCCCCGTGGGGGAGACGGAGATGACGGCCTGAGCCTCACTTATCTAGTCCCAGCCCAGGCCTGCCCCCACCTTCTAAGCCCCCGCAGACCCCAGCCCCAGCTCCGCCCTCTCCTGGGAGCAGCCCCGGGACAGAATTCCTGCTTCTGAGATGAGGGTGGTACAGACGAGGGACGGCGGGGCAGAGTCCGACTAGGCCACAGTGGAGGGTGGCACGGAGACACCGGGAGAGGGTTCTTCTTGCTCTGAGACTGCCTGGCAGAGGGCCAGAGGCTGGGGACAGGGCTGGGCGAGGGACCTGGGTGGGCCATGTGGCGGTCTCGGCAGTGCTGAGGTCCCTGCCCTGCTGTTCCAGGAGCCCAGGAGCACCCACCCCCCTCCAAACCCCGGCATTACCCCATGGGGGCACATGGTCACCAGCAGACCCGGTCCCAGGTGTCCCTCAGAAGCAGAGGAAGGGAACTGCTGGCCCAGCAAGGGGCAGTCCAGACCACAGGACCTGGAGCCTCCCCCATCACCCTCTTAGCCTCAGGGCGGGGGTGAAACAGTTCCCTTGTGGGCCTCACCATCACATCCCAGCTCAGAGGCTGAGACCTCCCCCCGCAGGAGATCCCCATCGAGGCCCAGACAGGGAACGTGAGCTGGTGAACTGGGCATGTGTGGGGTGTGCAAGGGCAGGTGCCTGGGGCTGATGCCCCGACCAGGCCCAGCAGGGGCCATGAGCAGCTGGAGATACTGTGGGCCAGGTGCTGTCGGCTTCTGGGGACAGGTGCAGGGATCCGGGCCGGGAGGGAAAGCCCGAGATCTGAGCTCCTACTTCCCTGCCTCAGGGAATGGCCCAGCCTCAGAGGTCCGCGAAGCCCAGAGATCCCTTCCCAACCCCACAAGGGGAAACTGCTCGTTCGTGGCCAGGCCACAGTCAGGGGCTATGCTGCTGGGAGCCGTTCATGGCACATGCAGCCTGCCCGGAACCCAGGGCAAAGACTGAGCTGCCTGAGGCCCACTCAGTACCGCACCACCCAGGACCAGTAGAGCGGCCAGGGGCCAAGCCGTACCTGTATGCCGGGTGCAGGCCAGAGCGAGAGCCAGGGCCCAGAGCAGGGCCAGCTTCCTCCGGCCAACACTCATTGTGTGGACGGCGGGGAAGAGTGCCCTGTCCCTCAGCAGCCTCTGAGGAGGGACCCAAGGTGGCAGGAGCTTTTTGTAGCCCCAGAGCTGGCTCCAGCCCCGTGCTTCACGTGGGTGGGCAGGGCGGGGCCTGTGGTTCCCCCTCACCCAAGTAAACAGTGGGTGCTCACTGCGGGCTGGCCAGCGGCCGGTGGCAGGCGGAGATGGGTGTGTCTGCCGGATAGAGCCCAGTTTCCGAGGGCCCCCCCAAGCCCTGGCCTGCAGGGGTCCTCCCCACATACCCCACCCTAGACTCTCCCTGGGCACCGTGCCATGCCCAGCAGCCTGTGAGTTCCTGGTGCCCAGAAGTGAGTGCTCAGAACAGCCTTAAGGCACCTCTTTGACACTAATCCCTCTGCAGCAGGACAGGGGGCCCAGCCCAGCCTTTCCCTTTCCTGCCATTCCTCCCATGGCCGACCTCCTGGTTGGACCCTCCACATGGGCAGTGGAGCTGCCGACCTTGGCTGGGGAATGTGTGGCTGCCTGGGAGGGAGAGGCCAGCCCCAGCCCCATCCAAAGCTCCTTATGGTCACCTATTTCTCCATTTCTGTGCCTTTTACTCCCCATGTCTTGTCTTACCCGGATGCCTAGAGAGAGAGCACATGCGGCAGGAGTGTGGCGAAAGGAAAAATGATTGAGTGAGTGAATGAATGAGTAAATGAGTGATTGAGGAGTGAGTGAGCCAAGGCGTCCCTCAGGCCAGCCACATGCTGCCACTGAAGTAGCGCCAGCCAGCCTCACCCTCCCTGGAGAGGGGCTCCTGGCAGCAGCCTCCAGGCAAATGATAGAACCCCTCCCTCACCATGCAGCCCCCTCCCAGCATTGCCCAGGAGTCCACCTGTGCTTCTGTCTCCTGACCCCAGGCGGGCAGGGCCAGTTCAAGTCACTTGATGGTCTCTGGCCACCAAGATCCAGAAATGCTCAGTACCCTCTGGACAGGAAGCTGTTGACTGGTCCGAGCAGTCCCAGCACAGAAAGGTCCCAGTGAGTCTTTGGCCTGAAGGGCTCTGGCTGAGAAGGTGCTGTTGTGTGATGAACACTTGCCCAGACCACAGGTGTGTGGCTGGACACTGTGGCTAGACTCTCCCTCCCAGGCAGCCACACACTCCCCAGCCAAGGTCGGCTGCTCCACTGCCCATGTGGAGCGTCCAACCAGAAGGTCTCCCATGGGAGGAATGGCAGGAAAGGGAGAGGCTGGGCTGGGCCCTTTGTCCTGCTGCAGAGGGGTTAGGGTTGAAGAGGTGCCTCAAGGCTGTTCTGAGCACTTGCTTCCAGCTCTCTAGGGACCCGTCCCAAGCTCTTTATGATTGCCTACTTCTCCATTTCTGTGCCTTTCCCTCCCCATGTCCTGTCTTAGCCCAGGTGCCTAGAGAAAGAGCACTTCACATGTGGCAGGAGTGTGGGGAAAGGGAAAATGATTGAGTGAGTGAATGAATGAGGTAATGAATAAGTAAGTGGATAAATGAGTGAGTCTATGAGTAAATGAGTGAGTTAAAATGAATGTGAATGAGTGAGCGAGTGAGTGAACAGGTGAGTGAGTGAGTAAATGAGTGAGTAAATGAGTAAGTGAATGAGAGAGTGAATGAGTAAATGAGTGAGTAAATGAGTAAGTGAATGAGAGAGTGAATGAGTGAGTGACTGAGTTAATGAATAAATGTGAATGAGAGAGATAGTGAAAGAGTGAATAAGCAAGCAGTGAATGAGTGAATGAGTCAGTGAGTGAGTGAATGAGTGAATAAGTGAATGAGTGAGTCAATGAGTGGGTGAGTGAGTGAATGAGTGAGTGAATGAGTGAATGAGTCAGTGAGTGAGTGAAAGAGTGAATGAGTTAATGAGTCAATGAATGAGTGAGTGAATGAGTGAGTAAATAAGTTAGTGAGTAAGTGAAGGGGGAATGAGTGAGTGAATGAGTCAATGAGTTAGTGAGTGAGTGAATGAGTGAGTGAATGGGTGAATGAATGAGTAAATGAGTGAGTGAGTGAATAAATGGGTGAGTGAATGAATAAGTGAATGGGTGAATGAGTGAGGGAATGAGTCAATGAGTCAGTGAGTGAGTGAATGAATGATTGAGTGAATGGGTGAATGAATGAGTGAGTGAGTGAGTAAATGAGTGAGTGAATGAGTGGATGCATGAGTGAATGAGTGAGTGAGTCAATGAGTGAGTGAGTGTATGAGTCTATGAGTGAATAAGTGAGTGAGTGAATGGGTGAATGAATGAGTGAATGGGTGAATGAATGAGTGAGTGAATGAGTGAATGAATAGATGAGTGAATGAGTGAATGAGTAAGTGAATGAGTGAGAGTGAATGAGTGAGTGACTGAGTTAATGAATGAATGTGAATGAAAGAGATAGTGAAAGAGTGAATAAGTGAGCAGTGAATGAGTGAGTGAATGAGTCAGTGAGTGAGTGAATGAGTGAATAACCAAATGAGTGAGTCAATGAGTGAGTGAATGAGTGAGTCAGTGAGTGAGTGAATGAGTGGATGCATGAGAGAGTGAATGAGTTAATGAGTCAGTGAGTGAGTGAATGAGAGAGTGAATGAGTTAATGAGTCAATGAATGAATGAGTGAGTAAATGAGTGAGTGAGTAAGTGAATGGGTGAATGAGTGAATGAGTCAATGAGTCAGTGAGTGAGTGAATGGGTGAATGAATGAGTAAATGAGTGAGTGAGTGAATAAATGGGTGAGTGAATGAGTAAGTGAATGGGTGAATGAGTGAGGGAATGAGTCAATGAGTCAGTGAGTGAGTGAATGAATGAGTGAGTGAATGGGTGAATAAATGAGTGAGTGAGTGAATGAGTGAATGAGTGGGTAAATGAGTGAGTGAATGAGTGGATGCGTGAGTGAATGAGTGAGTGTATGAGTCTATGAGTGAATAAGTGAGTGAGTGAATGGGTGAATTAATGAGTGAGTGAATGAGTGAGTAAATAAGTGAATGAGTGTATGAGTGAATAAGTGAGTGAGTGAAAGTGTGAGTGAATGGGCGAATTAATGAATGAGTGAGAGAGTGAGTGAATAAGTGAGTGAGTGAATGGGTGAATGAATGAGTGAATGGGTGAATAAGTGAGTGGGTGAGTGAGTGAATAAGTGAGTGGGTGAGTGAGTGAGTGGGTAAATGAGTGAGTGAATGAGTGGATGCGTGAGTGAATGAGTGAGTGTATGAGTCTATGAGTGAATAAGTGAGTGAGTGAATGGGTGAATTAATGAGTGAGTGAATGAGTGAGTAAATAAGTGAATGAGTGTATGAGTGAATAAGTGAGTGAGTGAAAGTGTGAGTGAATGGGCGAATTAATGAATGAGTGAGAGAGTGAGTGAATAAGTGAGTGAGTGAATGGGTGAATGAATGAGTGAATGGGTGAATAAGTGAGTGGGTGAGTGAGTGAATAAGTGAGTGGGTGAGTGAGTGAGTGGGTGGCGACTGACTGAGCGAGTGATCACATTTAAGGCTGAGCGGCTGACAGGGTTAGGGTGGACCACCCCAGCCACTGGTGCTTCAGGAGGTCTGACTCGACCAGGTGTAGCCAGGGTTCCCCTGCCCTGGCCCAGGAGTGGACACCAGGTCGCCTGGTGCTGATGAAGGCAGAGGAGGGTCCTGGTAGTGGACAATGGGCCCCGCGGTGGGACCAGATCCCAGGGCCAGGTGGTTATGTCAGTGGGGCATAGGGAAGGGCTTGAGGGTCTGCAGGTGTGACCGGGACCCTGGCCAGGGCCGCATGTGAGTGCCTGAAGGCCTGCCCTCCTTACGCCCTCAGATAGACAGGAGGCAGTGGGTGAGTCAGTGTCCAGCCCCCAACAGAGGACAGGCCTGAGTCACTGGCCCAGTCCATACCGTGACCTCTGAACAGTCTGAGTCACCAGCGTGGCCCTCAGAGGGGAGTGCCCCCTGCGTGTCTGAGGCTGGGCCAAGCCCCGGGGCACCTGGCCAACTGGCCACCCAGGCCTTGCCGCCCCAGCCACAGCTTTCTCCTCCCTCAGCCAGACGTCACCCAGGGCCGCTGCTGGGGTCCAGCTGGGGTGACTTCCCCCCACCAGTGTTGGTGACCCCTGGCTGTGCTGGGCTTCCTCTTGGGGCCTGGGCTCAGGCACCCAAAACCCCTGGGCATGGGCCACGGGCTGACCACCTGGTCCCATGAAAACCCCACCAGGCCGAGGCCTCAGGAGGCCTGAAGCCAGTGCCTACAGTTCCAGAGCCTACAGCCCCAGGCTCCACACACCCAGAACTTTCCAGAAAACCCACTGGGCCTTGTTTCTGAGCCCTGTGGGCATTTTCTGTGTGTCCCCAGGGGCAGTGAGGTCCCGGCCACGCCACAGGCCTCAGAGGGGAATCTGAGGTGGTCACTGCAGCCTTGCTGGGGGCTCTCAGAGGGTGCAGGCAGGGCTGGCCGAGCCGTGGCGCAGCCACCTGCCTCCTGGGAACCCTCCCTGAGGCCTAAAGCTCTCAGCATATGCCCGGGAGTCCCACCCACCGGAGGGCTCCATGCCATCTCCAGTCCCCTCAGCTCCCAACCCCCATCCAGCACAATAACTCCTCCTGCTGCCTCCCAGCAGGGGCCCTGGCCAGGCCGGCTGGATACCTTCCCCCAGCCTGGGGCCGGTGTCAGCTCTGAGACCGGCAGCCAGGACAGGTGTAAGACCAGCGACTTGGCCTCAAAATCAGGATCACTCTTCCCCCGTGAGCTCCCGACCCCCCGTGGTAGCCAAGCCCAGCACTTGCATCTCGGAACCCTGATGCCCCGGCCACCCTGCCCGCAGCGCCGACCACTTAGCGGGCACGGCTGCGCATGCGGTCCGGGTGGGGCTGCAGCAGGGGCCTGGGGGCCGGTGTCTGAAAAGCAGGCGCAACCCCTAAAGCAGACCCTGCCTCAGCCCCTGAGAAGGGTGATGACCCCACCGGGCAGGAGTCCACCCTCCTGACTTGAACCTGCACCCTCAGGTGAGAGGCACCTTCAGGGAAGGTGTGTGCCTGGGACCAGCAGCTGCCTGTCATCTGGAAAGTGTTTGCAGGAGGGTCCCCAGGGCGGGGACAGTGCCGGGCAGGTGGGAGCTTTTGCTTCTGTGGGATGTGCAGGAGGAAAGCTGTGCATGGGGGTGGCACGTGGGCTCCGCCGGGACCGCAGCCCACAAACCTTCACTGCACTCTGGTGCGGGAGGCCCCACAGCTCTGGTCCTGGGCGGCCGCCAGTGCCCCTCTCTCCCCGGGATCTGACAGGTGAATGCAGACAGGAGGGCACTGGAGAAAGGGCGGGGGTCACGGGCCTGATAGGAGCTCCCAGCCAGGTATTGCCACAGAGACAACAGGATTGGGAATGGAGGGAGGCCCGGCCACATCCCAGGGCAGCACTGTCTCCTGCCGCCAGGTGCTGACCCCGCCTCCGGCCCCCTGGACTTGGGAGGAATTGTGTCGGTTAGCTGTTTGTCCTGGGTGACTAACTCAAGTGAGATTAACCACGGCCCGCACCACATCCGGTGGGGAAAGCCCCCTGTGGATGGCTTCGGCCCCACAGAGCTGGGGGAACAGCCTGGGGTGCCCCAGGGCCACTTCCCCTGGAGGAGGGAGTGAAGAGGGTCCTGCTCCCCAGGACCCCCCAGAACTCCCTGGGAGCCCCTTAGACACCCCCACAGGTGTGTATGTTCCAGGTTTCTCAGCCCCACCAGGCCGAGCGCACACTGTTGGGGGCACCTGGCCCAGTCTGCCCTCCAGCAGCATCAGGAGAGGCCCCCAGCCCGGCCTGAGCCCAGCCAGGACACCCCAGCCCGGTGGTTACTGGCCAGGTGAGCAGGGGAGGGAAGCACTGGTTTCAACATCGCAAGCCCTGGGCTGGGCTCACACTCTGCCCCCAGCCTGTCGCTTCCATCCCAGTTTCCGGGCACAGCCCCTAGGAGGTGACCTGCAGGGCCGCTGGGGTCAGCCTGGCTCTGGCTGGCAGGACCTGGGGAGGCCACGCCTACCCTAAGGCACCTGGGGTGGAGGGTGGGGGTCTGTCCTGGGGAGACCAGGGGAGGGCAGCTCCACACACCCTGCCCACAGGAGACCCCAGGGCTCTGTGGAGCAGACATCTTCCCTTCCAGGCGGGGGGTGGCGTAGGACTCCAGCAGCTCCCGCTGTGGGGCCCTGAGCCCGTGCATTACCCTCCTGTACCATCTGTTAAATGGCTCATTTAAAGCCCGCTGCTCAGAGCCCTGCTGCCCTAGGAGGAACCCAGCCATGCACCCCCACAGCGTCCAGGCATGCTAGGTCCCCTAGGAGGAACCCAGCCATGCATCTCCACAGTGCCCAGGCATGCTGGGTCCAGAGGTGAGCTCAGTGCCAGCCCGCCCCACCCTCCTCCTAGACTTGGGACCACTGGGGGCCTGCAAAGTGCCTGTGTCCTCATCCACAAAACGGGGTGGAGCCACCATGTTCTGCCATTTCTGCCACTTCCATGCTCTGAACATAGCCTCTCTCATGCCTGGTGGTTCAGAAAATGATGGTAGCTTAGCACCTGTGACCCTCAGTCTCGCCAAGGCCGGGGTGGGCCGTGGGGTCCAGGACAGCCCCTGGCCGGGCCTCTGACAGCCCATGTTCTGGGGGACGTGGCAGAATCAGGAAGCCTGATTAGGGCTTCGTGTGGGAATTGGAGAATGATTTCACAGAAAGACAATAGAGTTTCTCAGCGCTGGGACCAGGATACGCTCCGGCTTTGGAAGGGGAGGCACCCTGGGTGGGACTGGGAAACTGACACATGAATTATCAGCGGCTGTTGACAGAAAGAGCAGGCTTCGGCGGCAGATTTTTACCAAGCCAGGAACTTACACAATAAGGAGGAAGGAGGCTTAAATTTCTTCCCGACTTTACCAGGGGGCCCGAGGGAGAGCTGTGGCGGACGTACCCATGGCGGGGTTGGGTGGCCCTTGCCCAGAGGGAGCTGAGACCCTGCTGGGCCCTCTGGGCAGGGAGGGGGCAGAGTAAATTTGATTTTGTGGCAGGGCTGCGTGATCTGGAGCCTTCCTACGTTTATTTATTTTCTCTGAATCACTGGACAAACAGAATTCCTCCCAAGATGTGGCCTGGGCTACTGGAGCTCTGGCCCCCAAGGCCCACGGTTCTGGCCAAAGCATCAGTTCCTTGCACCCGTGTCCACAGCAAGGGCCACACTGACCCCCAGGAGTGGCTGTCGGCTCCATGGGCCTCCCATGTGGCAGAGCCGTTCATCTGCACCTGCTTCCATCTTCATCTTCCCGGGCGGGCGGGCGGGTGGCGATGCTCCATGCTGGGGGCTCCCCTGTGCCTGGGTCCAGTTCAGCTCCTGGGAGCCCCGGCCTCCTCATCCCCCTCCCCCCACCCCTCGGCCCCCATGCCTCTGGTTCCCCTATTGCCCTCACATCTCCTGAACCCCAGGCACCTTCAGCAGGGCCCCTGAGTGCACATGCACCTGTGAGTAATTTGGGGCTGGAGACTCAGGGGATCACAGATTCTGGGGCAGATCTGTGGACCCCAGATCCCCTTCAGTCCATCGCCCAGCCAGTTTCCTGGGCCCCTCCCCTGACCTTGGTAGCCCCAAAGGCCCATGAGAGTCAGGGGATGCTGCCGGCTAGTCCCCTGCCCCCCTGCTCCACTGTGCACATGCTGCCCCTCCCTGATGGGGGGCCCTGCCAGGCCATGTGCACCATGGATCCCCATCCGGGTCGGCCTCGGGGAGAGGACCAGCCAGAGCGTGCTGCCCTCGCTGTGGTTTCCAGGGGCCCAGACCAACCAGGGCATTGGGGCACAGGTTAGCACCTCTGACCCCTGGGAGGACAGAGGGGCATCAACACAGGGTGGGGCGTCATCCACCAAATGCATACGCAGGGTGGGGCGTCCACCAAATGCATGCGCAGGGTGGGGCGTCCACCAAATGCATACGCAGGGTGGGGTGTCGTCCACCAAATTCTGACCGTGCATTTAAAAGGTATTTTTCTCAGTGCAAAATCACAAAGAATTGAAAGCAGGGTCAGCAGTCTTGTTGACCACAGCCAAGAGGTGGAAGCAGCCTGGTGTCTGTCCACGAATCTGGGGGAAAACAAGGTGAGGCCCATTGTGCCGGGGAGCACCAAGCAGCCCCCAAAAGGAAGGAGGCCCTGGCATAGGCGGCAGTGTAGGCGGATCCAAGGACATTGGCTTGGAGAGACAAGCCATCCACGGAAGGGCAAACGCCACGTGGTTCCACTACACCAGCGGCTGGGGCCGCCAAATCCACACACACAGAAAGCAGATGGTGGCCGCCAGGGCTGGGCAGGGGCTGGGCACGGGGAGTGGGGACCTGGTGTTTAACAAGACAGAGCTTCAGTTCTGCAAGACGAAGATGTTCTGGAGATGGTGGCTCTGCGGGCCGCACGGCAGTGTGAATGTCCTAACAGCACTGCACTGTGCACCCAGCAGTGGCAAAAAACGTCAACTTTATGTTATGTGTTTTTTACAACAATAAAAAATTGGAACAAAATGTAAAGCGAAAATTGCCCCCCTCGTCTTGAGAAGACACCCACGAATATTTTGATGGGGTCTTTTCAGATCTTCTGTGGACATGCGCCTGCTCCTCCTGTAAGGAGGCATTGGGTGCCTTTCTTGCTGGAGGCCCTGGGGAACTCGAGCTCAGCCTGGCCCCCTCACCCAGGGGGCCTCTTCAGGTCCAGCCTTCCGGGTTCATATAAAATACAAATATACTGGCCATGTCTCCAGGGATGTCTCGAAATACATGTCTCGAAAGTATTGGCTGAGGGAAGCTGAGCCACGAGGCATGGGCTGGGCCCAGCGTCCCCAAAATGCCCAGGGGAGGCTGTCTTCCCAGGGTCAGTGCGAGCCCAGCTCCAGGAGCAGGTGGGCCCAGAGACACCCACTTTTGGGGGCTGGAAACCCAGAGGTGCTGGGGGCCACCCCGTCCAGGGCCCCACCTGGCAGACACACCCCCGGTGTGTTCACAGCCTCACACTCACACCTGGACTGTTTGAAGAATGCACAGGTGAATAAGCCCTGTGTGCACCTGCTCTGAGCCACGCCCCTAGGCCAGGTGGGTTCGGGCCATGGGGCCAGCCAAGCTCCATCACCCTCAAAGGGCTCTGCTCGCCTCACCTCCCCTCGGCAGGCCTGGCCCACCCACCTGCATCTCAGAGCCCCCACAGTGCGCCCCAGGTGCCTGTCCCACAGTCTGGGGAGAGGGAGTAAGTAGGACAAGGGACACAGGATTAAAGGCCCTGGCACCTGAATGTGGTCCTGGGAGAGAGAGAGAGGGCAACGCGTGCCAGGCTAAACGGTGCAAGAAAGGCCCCACACTCACCCCACACACAGCCTGGGACTCACCCAAGGAAACCCCAATAGCCCATTCAGCTCTGTGGGCAGGACCGTGTGATCACAACGCACAAACCCATTGAACTGCAGCGACATGGCAGCAGTAGCAGTCCACACACACACACCATGCAAACACACACACACTCCATGCAAACAACACACACAAGCGCACACACACCATGCAAACACACACACACCATGCAAACACACACACACTCCATGCAAACACACACACACAAACACACACACACCATGCAAACACACACACACAAGCACACACACCATGCAAACACACACACACAAGCACACACACACCATGCAAGCACACACACACCATGCAAACACACACACACAAGCGCACACACACCATGCAAACACACACACACACCATGCAAGCACACACACACAAGCACACACGCCATGCAAGCACACACACACCATGCAAACACACACACGCCATGCAAGCACACACACACAAGCACACACACACGCCATGCAAACACACACACACCACGCAAGCACACACACACAGGCACACACACACCATGCAAGCACACACACACAAGCACACACACATGCCATGCAAACACACACACACGCACATACACACCATGCAAACACACACACACACCATGCAAGCACACACACAAAGCACACACACACCATGTAAGCACACACACAAAGCACACACACACAATGCAAGCACACACACACTATGCAAGCACACACACATACCATGCAAACACACACACAAGCACACACACGTACCATGCAAACACACACACACAAGCGCACACACACATCAAGCACACACACCATGCAAGCACACACACAAAGCACACACAACATGCAAGCACACACACAAACACGCACACAACCATGCAAACACACAAGCCCACACACACCTGCATACACATACATGCAAACACACACAGAACCTTGCAAACACACAAACATGGAAACACACATACATAACTCTGCAAACACACACATGCAAACAGACACACACACAACCCTGCAAATACATACACAAACACACACACATGCAAACAGAGACACAACCCTGCAAACACACATGCAAACAAGCAGATGTGCACACACAGAACCCTGCAAACACACGCACATGCAAACACATGCAACCATTCAAACACACAAACACGCAAGCACATACTCACAACCTGCATACACACACATGCAAACACATATAGAACCCTGCAAACACACAAACACAGAAACACATACACAAGCCTACAAATACATACACATACAGACACATAACCCTGTGAACACACACACACACACACACACACACACACACTGGCACTCTTGGTTTTCCTCGGTGTGTTTGCCCGGTACAGGTGACAGCCTATTTCTGTGCTCTCAGTTCGTCTCATTAATCTGAATGTCTAAGTTTATATCAATGTCACTCCGTCTCGACTAAGAGCTTCATTCTAAGTCTTGGAAATGTTTTTTTCTGCTTCGTCAAGATCGTCATGGCTATCCCAGGTCTTTTCCATGGCCGTATAAATTTTAGAAGGCGCTTGTCAATGTCCACCCAAAAAAAACTGGATTTTTTATTGGGATTGAATTTACCGATCAGTTTGGAGGAAAATGACATTTTAACAATATTGAGTCTTCAACTATATTAATACATCTCCACATATTTTGGTCCTTTTGAATTTCTGCAATTCTTTGCAGTTTTTAGTGTAGAGGTCATGGGGACATTTTGTTAAATTTATTTCTAGGCAGTAGCAGTTTTTTGATGCTCTTTTCTACTAGTTTGTTGCTAGCATATAGAAATGCAGTTTTTAATATACTGACAGCATTAGCCTGAATGATGGCCCCAGAGATGCCCGCATTCTAAACCCTGGAGCCATGGGGGAAGGGACCTGGTGGACAGAGTGATGGGCCTTGGGTGGGGAGGTTGTCCTGGATTATCTGGATGGGCCCGAAGTAACCACAAGGGCTCTTGTGAAAGAAGCAAGAGGGTCAGAGAAAGAGGTCAGGCAGACAGAGACAGCGGGAGGAGAGGGAGGCAGTCGGGGAGAGCAGAGGCTCCCGATGGCTCTGCAGGTAGAGGACGGTCCGCCGGGGAAGAGACGCGGCCTCCAGAGCGGGAAGAGGCGAGGACGTGAACCCTCCCCTGGAGCCTCTGGAAGGAACGCAGTCCTGCGAGCTCCCTGGAGACTTGGCACCCCCGGACCGCACGGCGTGAGCGTGCTGTGCTCAGCCACAGGGCTGTGATCCTTTGCCACGGCAGCAGCCCGGCTCCACACAGCCAGGATGGTCTTGGTGGCAATTGCGGACCACACGTGACTGTAACAGGTTTACCACTCTGCACCTTAATGGCAGCTTAAACACATAACATCCCTTAGGGAAAACCTAAGTGGCAAACACTTTATGCAAAGTAACATCTCTTAAGGGGTCCTGGATCTGCAAACACGGTTTGAGCAAAGTGACGTTTCCCAGAAAGTGCCCATGGCCCGTTTTGCAGAATAAGGAGGGTCCAGGGGAGGGGAGAGGAGAGACGCCAGAGACAGGAAAGAGGCCAGAGACAGCCCTGCCGTGTCCACCCCCAGCCGCTTAGGCTGTTTGTCTTTTTTTTTTTTTTTTTTTTTGAGACGGAGTCTCGCTCTGTCGCCCAGGCTGGAGTGCAGTGGCCCGATCTCGGCTCACTGCAACCTCTGCCTCCCGAGTTCATGCCATTCTCCTTCCTCAGCCTCCCGAGTAGCTGGGACTACAGGCGCCCACCACCGCGCCCACCTAATTTTTTGTATTTTTAGTAGAGACAGGGTTTCACCGTGTTAGCCAGGATGGTCTCGATCTCCTGACCTCGTGATCCGCCCGCCTCGGCCTCCCGAAGTGCTGGGATTACAGGCGTGAACCACTGTGCCCAGCCTCTTTTGTCTTATTCACATGTTTGTTATCAATTTTCAGTTGTATTTTGTTAGAGACCATAGCCACAAAAATTAATCTCACATTAGGCCCCAGAGAAAACTGCAGCCAATTCCGTAGACAACAAATTGGACAGAATTACACACTAACAAGAGTGAATTTTACTGTATGCAAATTATACCTTGAAAATAAAAAATACATGTAAAAAAGATTAATTTTTGTAACTATTCTATGGATGCCTAAGATGAAGGAGTATTATCTGTATTAGAGAACAAAGTTTGAAATAAATGTGTAAATAAATCTTATTAATTACATAATTCAAATCTTCTCTCCACCTCTTGCCTACTCTATCTGTCATGGAGTAAGATACTATAACTGAACTTTTTAAAATTTCTCTGCACTTTTTCCGACATCAACTTTACATATATCTTTCATTTTTTATTAAGATATAATTTGCATACAGTAAGATCCACTCCTGTTAGGGTTACAGTTCTGGGAGCTGTGATGAACACACAGTCAGGTAACCATCACCACACTCAGAGACAGTCGCTCGGTCACCCCACGAGGTCCCCCGTGCCCTGTACAGCCAACCCCGTCCCCTCTCCCAGTCTCCAGCCACCACATATCTGTTTTGCACCCCTACAGGTTTACCTGCTCTGTGATGGTATATAGATATAGATATAGGTATAGATATACATATAGATATAGATCTGATGGAATACTACTCAGTCATAAAATGGAATGAATTAACAGCTTTTGCAGTGACCTGGATGAGATTGGAGACTATTATTCTAAGTGAAGTCACTCAGGAATGGAAAACCAAACATCATATGTTCTCACTGATATGCGGGAGCTAAGCTATGAGGATGCAAAGGCATAAGAATGATATAATGGACTTTGGGGACTTGGGGGGAAGAGTGGGAGGGGGTGAGGGATAAAAGACAAAAAATATGGTGCAGTGTATACTGCTCAGGTAATGGGTGCACCAAAATCTCACAAATCACCACTAAAGAACTTACTCATATACCCAAATACAACCCAGTAACTTATGGAAAAATAAAATAAAAATAATAAAATTATTTAAGCAAAAAAAAAGAAAAAAGGAAAATCAATGGGTTTTTTTTTTCCATTCATGGTAAACCATTTGCCAATTCTAATATTTTTCAGAACTGTTTGTGGGAATAAAAATGGATTCTAAATGAAAAAAAAGAAAGATTTCTTTCATCGGCATTTTGTAGTTTTAAGCACACAAGTCCTCCACGTTTGGTTAGATTTACGCCTACATGTTTCAAGTTATTTGCGTGATTGAGAATGGTGGTATATTTTTAAAGTCGATGAAGTCATGGTCATTGCTACTAAATAGAAATACTATTCATTGTTGTGTGTTTATCCTGTATCCTTTGACCTTTCTGCACAGACATTAGTCTTGGATTTTTTTAAATTTCAGTATCTTTGGAATTTTCTATATAGACAATCATGTCACTTAAAAATAGGGACGGCTTTATTTCTTCCAAACGAATTGCCTTTTATTTCCTTTTCTTGCTTTATTGCACTGGCAGAACTCCCAGCAGTACGTTGAATAAGAGCGATGAGAGGGGACACCCTCACCGTGCTCCCAGTGTCAGACAGGAAGAACTCAGCCTTCACCATTAGGTACAATGTTAGCAGGAGTGGTTTTTGCTTTTTGGTTTCCTTTTTTTGTAGCTGTTCTCTATCTCATTGAGGAAATTCCCTGTATTCTTATTTTTTGAGAATTTATAAGAATGAATGTTGAGTCTTTTCAAATGTTTTTGCTGCTCTGATTGATAGGCTTGTGCAATTTTTCTTCTTTGGCCTGTTAATATGGCTGGTTGCATTAATTTTTTAAATATTGACCTGGCCACCTTGCATTTCTGGAATAGATCCCTCTTGGTTAAGATGGATAATGCTCCATATAGCACTGAATTCTCTTTGCTGTTATTTTGTTAGAGTCTGTATCCATCTTCATGAGGGGTGTTGGTCCATAGTTCTGGTTTGGATTTGCTTTGTTTTTCTCCTGCCTGTATGATTTCAGTATCTGGGTCATACAGACGCCCTCCTCTTCTACATTCTGGAAGAATTATGTATGATTGGTGTTAATTCTTCTTTAAAGTTTTTACAGAATTCACCGCTGAACTCATCTGAGCCCGGAATTTCTTCTTTTGGAGTTTAAAATTATAAATTCAATGTTCTCAACCATTTATTGGGCTGCCCAGTTATCTATTTGTGTTAGCTGAGTTGTGATCACTTGTGCTTTTTGAGGAACTGGCATATTTCATCTAAGGTGCCAAAGTTCTGTGTGCAGAGTTGTGTGCCACAGCCCCTTGTCACCCTCATGATATCTGCAGGGTCTGTAGTGATTGCTCCTGTTTTAGTCCTGTCCTTGGTCATTTGTGTCTTTGCTCTTGTTTCTTGCTGTAATGCTAGAGCCTTGTCCGTGTTATTGGTATTTTTCTTTCTGCCACTGTCTCCCTGCTTTCGGTTTCACTGAGGTCTTTACTCTTTCCTTCCTTCAGTTTGCTCTGTGTGCAACCTGTGCTTCTTTTTCTCATTTCTTCAGTGGGTGGCATAGATTACTGACTTGACTCATCCTTTTTTCTAGTGTGTTCTGTTACTGCTACAAATTTCCCTCAGCACTGCTTTGACTGTATCTCTCTAATTTTTTTTATTTTTATTTTTCAGAGATAGGGTCTTGCTATGTTGCCCAGGCTAGATTCAAACTCCTAGCCTCTAGTGATGCTCCCACCTCAACCTCCTGAGAAGCTGGGACCCCAGTTGCATGTCTCCATGCCTGGCTATGTCCCTCAATTTTTGATATGTTGCATTTTCGTTTTCATTGAGTTCAATGTTGTTGTTTTTTAAAACTTCCCTTGAGACTTCCTCATTGGCCCACAGATTATTTGGAGGTCTGTTCTCTAGTTTCTGAATGTTTGGAGATTTTCCTGTTAACTTTCTGTTGTTCATTTCTAATTTGATGTCATTGTTGTCAGAGAACATGCTGGAGTGTGATGTCAGTATGTGAAATGTGCTAAAGTTTGTGTTCAGGCCCAGGACACGGCCTCTCCTGGAATGTGTTCCGTGCACATTTGAAAAGAATGTGTGTTCTGTGGTTGGGTGGAGCTCTACAAATGTTGGTCCTGTTGGTTGATGGTGTTAAGTTTTTCCACATCTTTGTTGATTTTCTGCCTAGTTGTTCTATTAATTGTTTAGACAGGGGTGTTGATGTCTCTAGCTATAATTAGAAATGGGTGCATTTCTCCTTTCAGTTTTATCAGATTTGGTTCAACTATTTTGAAGCTTTCAGGGTACATCTTCTGGTGGAAATTTCTCTTACTTTTCCTTCATCTGAAAATGCCTTAACTTCCTCTTCCTTCTTCGGGGATACTTTCACTGAATATAGCATTCTGGGCTGACAGTTCCTTTCTGTCAGCATTTGAAAAATGTTGTGCTCTTTTTGGCCTTTGGGGTTTCTGATGAGGAATCAAATGCCACTCAAACTGTCTTTCCCTTATATGTAAAATGTTGTTTCTCTCCTGCTACTTCCAAAATTTTTTGTTTTTATAGTTTTCAAAAGTTTGACTACGAGATGTTTTGCTGTGGATTTTCTTGGGTTTATCCTGTTAGGGGTTCATCGAGCTTCTTGAATCTGTGGGTGTTTTGGCAAGTTTGGGGAGTTTTCAACCTTAGGTCTTTGAGCTCTTTTCCATCCCCATCCTCTTTCTCTCCTCCCATGACCCCAACACCTGGAATGCTGGGTCTCTTGTTCTAGCCCTATGGTTCCTGAGGCTCTGTGTGTTTCTCTCATCCTGTTCAGTCTGTTTTCTCTTCGCTGATGGGTCTGATAACGTCTATTATTGTACCTCCCTGCTCACTGTTTCTTCCTCTCACTGGACTCTCCCTCTACTCTGTGTTGAGCCCATTCATTGAAGTCTTGTTTTTGTTTTTTATCTCTTCAATTATTGTAATTTTCAGTTCTACCATTTCCATTCAGTTCGTCTTTGTGTGTTCTGTTTCTGTGCTGGGATTTTCTATTATCTGTTGAGACTTTCTATTTTTAAATTGGTTTCAATTTGTTCACAAATGAAGCACTTTATGGGCTTCTCAAAAACCCTTTCCAGATCATTCTAACACCTCTTTGTCTCAGGGTCAGCCTCTGCTGATTGTCCTTTTGAATTCAGTCTGAGATCTTCCTGGGTCTTGGGATGATGAGCAATTTGTTATTGAAACCTGGGCATTTTGGAGATTGCTACGAGACTCTGGATCTTATTTAAACCTTTCTCGTTGACTTCCTCTGGCACAGATTAATGAAGGGAAGGGGCAGCTTGTGGTGTGGAAGTGCTCATTCCCCACCGGCCCTCTCTTAACACCCCAGGGGTTTTGTCCATGCCTGCCGGGCAGGGTGGAGCCCTCACCGATGCCTTCTGGCTGGGAGGGGCATGGCGCCTCGTTGCTGCTCTCATTCCCTCCACGGGCATGATGGAGGGGGCCCTGTTACACTGAGCAGTGGTCAAAGTCATGACTCTCGGCTCAGCCTCCTCTGACACTCCTCATGGGGAAGAGGAGGAGTGTTTCAACACCAGGGATGGGGTGGAAATCCAAGCTCCCTAACCCCGTGTGGTCTCCACCATCCCCATCACTGGTCACAGAGAAAGCGGTTCAGAACCACCCACTGGGATGACCCCAGCCTCCTGCTGTGCCCACTTGGACACCAGCCCTGGGGCCACCTGGGGCGCCTCATTCCAGCCACCAGGGTGGGTGCCCAGCCCTGCCCAGCCCTGCCCAGACTTTGCTCCAGTGGAGTGCAGGTTTTCCGTGGTGTTCAGCTGGAGCAGGGCAGTTATCACCTAAAAGCCTTCTGCTTTGCCGGGCAGCTACTTTCCTGATCACGCTGGCTCCAGGAGGCGGGGACTGGTGGGGCCTTTTTTTGGTGTACATGTGTTGAAGTGTCCACACTGCCAGCTTCTCCAGCTCCAGGCCTGGGATCCATGAGGCAAAAGCAAAACCCAGGGAACTTGCAATGGGTCTTTCCTGGGGCCCGAGGTCCCCGACTGGTCTGCCCTCTCCTCTCCACCTTCCGGAGCCTTCCTACATTTCTTTCATGTCTAATATTCAGGATTCTTCTTTGTACTTAGGAGGAAGACAGGGAAAAGAAGAGCTATGCCATCATCTGGGAGCAGCAGCACTATGTTTTTTAATGAGTAAAAATCAAAATAAATCACCATTGTTTCTTCTGCTTCTTCTATAAACTCAAACTGATCCTCTTTGTCGTGTTCGGTGTTCATATCTTAACCCCGCCTTTCGATTTATTAATACTACGGCCACAGCTCTGCCTCTGCTGGCTTTTGTCTCATATCCTGTTGCTTTTTGTTGTTGTTGTTGTTGATGGAGTTGTGCTCTTGTCACCCAGGCTGGAGTGCAGTGGCACTCAGCTCACTGCAATCTCAGCTCACTGCAACCTCCACCTCCCAGGTTCAAGCAATTCTCCTGCCCGAGTAGCTGGGATTATAGGCACGCGCCACCACGCCCGGCTAATTCTTGTATTTTTAGTAGAGACGGGGTTTCACCATGTTGGCCGGGCTGGTCGCAAACTCCTGACCTCAAACCCACCTTGGCCTCCCAAAGTGCTGGAATTACAGGCGTGAGCCACTGTGCCCGGCCATGTTGCCTTTCGATTTTAACTTTGCTGGGGCATTCGTTTTAGCTGTGTCTCTTTCAAACAACGTGCAGTGAGGCTGTGGGCGTGCTCTTTTCTTTTCAGCCCCATCTCCAGCCTCCTTTTCATAGGGGCATTCAGTCAGCCTTTACTGCCATGGCTTATCGCTGGCTCCTCAGTCCCTGGCCTGAGAGTCCTGACCTTTCTCCGGTCTGTTCTTGTGCAGCCGGGTTTGTGCTCCCTTTGCCGTTTCCTCTTGCAGGTCTTCACTCTGTTTTCATGACTATAGAGGTCATCCTTTTAACCCTGGGATCTGTGTTTCTATGAGTGACCCTGATTTGCTTGTGCGTGTGGAAGAGACGTCACTACCCCTTCCCTTCCTCCTGCTGGCCCCTCCTTTCCAGGTCTCAGTTCTGGGCTGTGCACTCTGGATTGTAAACATGACACCTCCCCTTGTCCTCCTCCAAGAATTGACTGTGCTCTTTGCAATCTGTGGCAGCCATTGCAGCAAATGGCCGGGATGACCCCTAAACCCAGTCATTCCAGACCTTCTGAATGTACAACTTTGCCTTTCTTGAGGTTTGGTTTTGTCTGCCGCTTTTGTGGTTTTTTGCTGAGATTGTATCTTGATGGGCTGATGTATGTCTTCCAGTCCTTTCTGTTTGCAGGAAAAATGCATGGGAAATATTCTTTCTAATTGATTGCCTTAGCAGTTTTCCAGGGCCTGTTCCCCCACCCCAGGGCTTCCCTGCAGCTGCTTCTGTCTGAGCACCCCGCCTCCTCCCACCACCCCCGCCTCCCCCAGCTACCCCCTCCCTCCCCCAGCCACCCCCGCCTCCCCCAGCCACCCCGTGCAAGGCCATCTCCCCTGCCTACACCCCGCTCAGCTCCCCGTATTGAATTTCCCCACAGAAATGTGTTCCCTTCTGCAGTTACCCATTGATTGATGAGATTATACAACTGAAATATTATGATCCCACTAAACTCTTATCCCACTGACAAGAAGGATCTTGTCTGGTTTTGTGCACCTTGATGAATGACACGTGAGAGACTCTCAACTAGCCGAATAAATGAAGTCTTGCTTTGACTCAGACATGTTTTATTTTATCATCGCTTCAATATTGCTGTTTTACAGGTAGGGCAAGTTCAGCCCACCGTCTTGCACTTTGCTTTATGTGTAACCCATGCATTCTTTGTTCCTTCGATCTTCTTTGCCTGCTTTCCTTTCAGTGAATCGATATTCTTGTTTTCTTTTGAAATAAAATTTGTTGAGATATAATTTACCCATAATAAAATCAACTCTTTTTTTTTTTTTTTTTGAGATGGAGTCTCGCTCTGTCATGAGGCTGGAATGCAGTGGCATAATCTCAGCTCACTGCAACCTCTGCCTCCCAGGTTCAAGTGATTCTCCTGCCTCAGCCTCCTGAGTAGCTGGGACTACAGGCACGCGCCACCACGCCTGGCTAATTTTTGTATTTTTATTGGAAACGGGGTTTCGCCATGGTCACCAGGCTGGTCTTGAACTCGTGACCTCAAGTGATCCACCCATCTCAGCCTCCCGAAGTGCTGGGATTACAGGCATGAGCCTGGCTTATAATAAGTGCTGTAATCCCAGCACTTATTATCCCGAAGTGCTGGGATTACAGGCATAAGCCATGCCTGGCTTAAGATGAATTCATTTTAAGTTAATACAGCCAGCCATGCATGTCTGTGGCTTCTGCATCTGTTGACTCAACCAACGGCTGATCAAAAATATTCAGGAAAAAAAAAGTCACAATGTTCCAAAAAAGCAAAACCTGAATCTGCCACTGAGGTCACACGTTGAGGTCACACAGCCGAGCTCCACGCTGAATCCACGGGAATGAAGGGGTGTGTGGGTGTTGTCTTTGGTGTTATGAGTAATCCAGCGATGACTTACAGTGCAGTCAACCCTTGAATGACAGGGGTTGTAACTGTGTGTGTCCTCTTATGCATGGAGTTTTTTCCACGAAAGTTGCACCAAGTGTGCCTGCCTCTCCCGACTCCCCTTCCACCTCCTCCATCTCTTCCACCTCTGCCACCTTTGAAACCAACCCCTCCTCCTCCTTCTCCTCCTCCTCAGCCTACTCAACAAGAAGACAACCAGGATGAAGACGTTTGGGATGACCCACTTCCACTTTATACATAGTCAATATATTTTCTCTTCCTTATGATTTTCATAATAACATTTTCTTTCCTCTAGCTTACTTTATTATAAGAATACAGTCTATGATACATATAACAGACAAAATATGTGTTAACCAACTGTTTATGTTGTTAGTAAGGTTTCCAGCCAACAGGAGGCTATTAGTAGTTAAGTTTGGGGGAAATCAAAAGTTATACTTGGATTTTCACCTGCATGAGGGGCTGGCACTCTTGGCCCCCATGTTGTTCAAGGGCCAACTGTACACAGGACGGTGTGCACAGTTTTTATGCAAATACTGTCTAGGTATTCCAGGAGGTCCTGGAACCAATCCCCAACAGATGCCAAGGGATGATGGTATTCAATGAGTGTTGGCAAACGTATACACCCATGGAACCATGACCGCGATCAAGCCAGAAAATGTTCCCATCACCCAAAGAGTTTCATGCCCCTTTCCAGTCAACCCTACTCTTTTTTGTTTGTTTTGTTTTTTAAGATGGAGTCTCGCTCTGTCGCTCAGGCTGGAGTGCAGTGGCATCATCTTGGCTCACTGCAACCTCCACCTCTTGGGTTCAAGTGATTCTCCTGGCTCAGCCTCCTGAGTAGCTGGGACTAGAGGTGCCCACGACCACACCTGGCTACTTTTTTGTGTATTTTTAGTAGAGATGGGGTTTTGCCATGTTGGCCAGGCTGGTCTCAAACTCCTGACCTCAGGTGATCTGCCCACCTTGGCCTCCCAAAGTGCTGGGATTACAGGCCTGAGCCACCATGCCTGGCCCCACTCTTATTCCTGACCCAGGCAACTATGGGTCTGAGTCTTGTCACTGTACATTAGTTTGGTCTATTATGGAACTTCAGACAAATGGAGTCATAAAATATTAACTCTTCTGTGTCTGGCCTTTTTCACACATCATGTTTTTGAGATTTACCCATGTTGTGGTGTGTTTTCACTGTTTCTTGTTATTGCTGGATAGTATTCCATCATATGGCTATACCACAATGTATTTATTCCATACACCTCTTGAGGAATACCTGAGCCTTTCCCAGTCTTTTACAGTTACGAATAATGCTGCCAGGAACATTTTTGTGCGAGTCTTTTTGTAAGCACACGTTTTCATTTCTTTTGAGTAAATGTCTAGGAGTAGAATTGCTGAGTCCTATGCTAAGCATGTGTTTAATTTCATAAGAAACTTTCAAGCAGCCTTCCAAAGTGATTGTACCACATTATGTCTTGTCTGCACTGTCTGAGAGCTCCGGCTGTGCCACATTCTTGCCAACACTTAGTATGGTCAGTTAAGTATTTTCAATATTCAGTTTTAATACTTCTATTTGCTTTTTATCTAGATATCATTATATTTTTAGTAGTTTCTCTGAAAGTTATAGTATGCATCCTTATCAGTCTATCTTGAATTAATATTATATCACATCACGTAAAATGTAAGAACCTGGCCGGGTGCAGTGTCTCACACCTGTAATCTCAGCACTTTGGGAGGCCAAGGCATGTGGATCACTTGAGTTCAGGAGTTCGAGACCAGCCTGGCCAACATGGTGAAACCCCATCTCTACTAAAAATATAAAAATTAGCCAGGCGTGGTGGCACAGATCTGTACTCCCAGCTACTTGGGAGGCTGAGGCAGGAGAATTGCTGGAACCCAGGAGGTGGAGGTTGCAGTGAGCCAAGATCGCACCACTGCACTCCAGCCTGGGTGACAGAGTAAGTGAGACTGTCTCAAAAAAAAAAAAATTATATATGTATATATATATGTATATATATATGTGTATATATATATGTATATATGTATATATATGTGTATATATGTATATATGTATATATGTGTATATATGTATATATGTATATATGTGTATATGTGTATATATGTATATATGTGTATATATGTATATATGTATATATATGTGTATATATATGTATATATATGAACCTTTGAACAGTCTAATTTCATTTTTTCTCCATTGTTGGTGCTATTTGGTGTGATGTTTTTAATTACTCCATGTGTTATAAACTTCCACAATTAATTTTTTGCTTTAAACAGTCCCTTAAAGAAAGTTTTTAAAAAAGAACATTTTACTTGTACTTACCCTCATATTTGTTATTTCTAGTGCTCCTCATTCCTTCCTGTAGACCTAAATTTTAGTGTTGACTGACAGGCTTTTTTTTTTTTCTTTCAACACTATAAAGATGTCTTTCTGGCATCTTCTGGCCACCTTTGTTTCTATGAGAAGTTGGTTGTAATTCTTATGTGACTTTTTTGACCCATAGGTTGTTTGGAATGCATTGTGCTTCTTGATTTTTAAATATTTGAGGTTTTTCTTAATATCTTATCATTACTGCTTTTAACTAATTTGTATTTTAGTGAGAGAACATATGTTGATTATTTCAATCCTTAGAAGTTTATTGAGACTTGTTTTATAGCCCAGCACTGTTCCATTTCGGTGAGCAATCCATGTGGTCTTTTGAAGAATGGTGTATTCTACAGTCATTGACTAGGGTTCCATAAATGTCAATTAGCTCAAGTTGGTTGATAGTGGTTTCAGAACTTCTAACAGCCTTCCTGAGTGTTTATTTGCTTTATCAATGATCAAGAAAATGATGTTAAAATCTGTGCCTGTTTCACCCTTAAGTTTTGTCTATTTTTGCTTTGTATACTTTGAAGCTTTGTTATTAGATGTATACACAGTAATATTGTGCTTTCTCAATGAATTGTCATTTCTATAATTATAAAATGTCCTTTTATCTCGGTAATATTCCTTGTCTTGACATCTACTTTGTCTGATATTGATGTAACCACTCTAGCTTTATTATCATTACTGCTTGCATGACATACATTTTTCCATCCTTTCACTTTTAACCTTATCTGTGTCTATAGTCACAACATGTCTCTTGTAAGCAGCATATCTTTGGGTCTTGCTCATTGATTCAGTCTAAAAGTCTGTCTTTTAATTGGAGTGTATAGTCCACTTACATTAATTTAAATTTTGATATGACTGCATTTATAGCTACCATTTTATCATTTATTCCCTCTGTGTGCTATGTCTTTTTCTTCCTGGATGCTTTAAAGATTTTCTTTTACCTTTTCTTTTCAGTAGTTTGACTATTACATGCGTAAGTGTAGTTTTCTTCATATTTATTGCACTGAAGATTTGCTTCTTGGAATTCAGAGTTGATGTTTTTAGTCAAATTTTAAAACATTTGGCTATTTTTTCTTTAATATTTTTTACCCCCTTTTCTCTTTCTTCTCCTTCCTCAGACAACTTAATATCATCCCACCAGTCACTGAGACTTTTTCAAAAAACTGTTTTGTCTGTTCTTCAGTGTGGATTGTTTCTATCAACCTCTCTTCAAGTTTCTTGATCTTTTCCTCTGTAGTTTCCCAGCTTCTGTTAAACCAATTCAATGACTATTTCATTTCAGATATTTGGTTGTGTTGTTTGTTTTCAGTTTCAAGATTTTCATTTGGTTCTGTTTTAGAGTTTCCATCTCTCTCCTGACATTCCCCACCTCTTTTCCATTATATTCATTTTCCAATGTATGTTATGTCACATTTTTATAATGGTTAATTTAAAATACTTATCTCCTAATTTCAACATATGGGCCTCTGTGGATATGCTTCTGATGGTTGGTTTGTTCCTTTGATTGTGGGCTATATTGTCCTCTGTGGTAATTTTTATTGTACACTGTGCATTGTGTATGATACACTGTGGAGACTTTAGATTCTGTGATCTTCCGAAGGAGAATGCTAAGTTTTGTTTAGCAGGTGGTTAAATTTTTGGTGGATCAACTTGATCCTGAGGAGGATTCTTCTCAGGCTTTATTATCTGGGTCTCTTTCAGTTTAGCCCTTGTTCCTGGGGCACAGCATTTAGTCCTAGCAGATGGTCCTTGCTCCTAACATACAGTTCTTACAGAGTCGTAATGGGAAGCAAGGTGTTTCTCCAGGAGGTCTAGCTGGGCCAACTCGAACTCCAAACTCTGTGACCCCATGCCCCTATCTTTCAGCCTTCCAGCTGTTTCCTTTCACTCAGATGTTTAAGGTCTCATCCTATATGTGACTTTTAACTCAGTCAAAAATTTGTGGATCTATTCTTCCTGTAACATCCTTCCTAATTTCCAGCCTCTGGAGACCTTAAGCTTGGACCTCAGTCTTCTCAGCCCAGCTCAGGAGCTGTAGTCAGCTGGCACCCTCTCCCTCACATTCCTGTAAACAGGGAAGCTCCCTCCAGTGGAAAGTCAGCTGAATGGGGATCGTACCTCACTTATTTCCCTTTTCCAGGCTTGCATCCCCTCTGATGCTGCCTGCCTCTGATTTCTCACCAGTGGTTTTTTGTTGTTTTGGGTTGTGTGTGTGTGTGTGTGTGTGTGTATGTATGTGTGACTGAGGCTCACTCTGTTGTCCAGATTGGAGTGCAGTGGTGCGATCTCAGCTCACTGCAACCTCTGCCTCCTGGGTTCATGTGACTCTGGTGCCTCAGCCTCCCTAGTAGCTGGGACTACAGGTGTGCGCCACCACACCCAGCTAATTTTTGTATTTTTAGTACAGATGGGGTTTCACCATGTTGGCCAGGCTGGTCTCGAACTCCTGACCTCAGGTGATCCACCTGCCTCAGCCTCCCAAAGTGCTGGGATTACATGAATGAGCCACCATGCCCAGCCACTCACCAGTCTTCAAAACAGGTGTCATTTCTATTTCATCTTGAGTTTATGATTATGAAGGGCAAGCATGTTATTCTGATATGAGCTAGTCCCCAAACACTGAAGGAGCCTTTCACACCAGTTTAATCTCTCTGTTCTTTCCCTCCTATTCTCAAAGAACTTTAATTGTCTTCCACATTACTTACTCAATTTTACATGGTGTTTTTTGTTACTTGCCGTTTTACTGTTTTGAGTACAGATATTAACTCTCCCATCGTGGTTTCTTTACATTATCTAGTTCCCCCTCATCTCTGCCTCAGGCTGATTCTCTCCTCTCAGTCTGTTACCTTTTTTATTCGTCTTTCACTTTTTGTTTCATTGAGTCGTTTTTTTAAATTCATAAATAATAAAAGCATATATTTTCTAAATATACTTGTTTCTAATGTATTTTTTAAATAAAACTATGTGTTCTCTCTGCCTTTCAGGAGAAACTTTTTAAAAAAATAATAATAATAATATCTAATGAAGGCCAGGCATGGTGGCTCATGCCTGTAATCCCAGCACTTTGGGAGGCCAAGGTGGGCAGATCCCTTAAGGCCAGGAGTTTGAGACCAGCCTCGGCAACATAGCAAAATCCTATCTCTATAAGAAAATACAAAAAATAGCCAGGTGTGGTGGCAGGCGCCTGTAGTCCCAGCTACTCAGGAGGCTGAGGCAGGCGAATGGCGTGAACTCGGGAGGTAGAGCTTGCAGTGAGCTGAGATCAAGCCACTGCACTCCAGCCTGGGCAACAGAGCGAGACTCCATCTCAAAATAATAATAATAATACCTAATGAATCTTTTGCTAGGCCCCTCTTCCGCGGGTTTTCTACTGTGGGTGTTCTTTCCAGGCCTCTGGAACTCTCCAGTCAGGGGCGTGGGCTCTCCCATCCCCGGGTCCCAGGTTGGATGGTATATACAGTCAGGTACTTAAAAGTCTGTCTGTAACTTCAAATAGCAAATGTTGAGTCCAGGCTTTCACGGCATGTTCACATGGTATATCCAGTCAGGTACTTAAAAGTCTGTCTGTAACTTCAAATAGCAAATGTTGAGTCCAGGCTTTCACGGCATGTTCACTGCAGACTGGCTGGGCCTCTTCCCCTCCTGATAATGCAGGCAGCATCAGAAGCATTCCCAGGTGGACAGAGGGGATGAAAGGGAACACTATTCTGAAGTCAGTCAAGGGGATTGTTAAAGATGGTAACTTTTTCACATCTTTATTCCCCAAACAGCTGAATTAATCCTGAATAAATGGAGAGCTGAGTGTATGGGTGGGAAGGTGAGGACACCAGGGAGGCTCTGGCCCTCACAGGGTTTGCATCTGAAGGGGCAGGGGCTGGGGCTGGGCTGGGAACTGATGGAGTAAGATGTGAATAACAGTGCCAGGGGCCCAACGTTCAGAGCTGGCAGGAGAGCGGGAAGGTGGGTCTGGCCTGGGCTGCTGAGAATTTCCATCAGGTCTGGGCACAGCTGGGGAACACAGGGTGGTCCCGGTGCAGGGCAGGCGTCAGTGAGGACATGAAGGCTGGTGAGCAGCCGCCAGGGGGCTGGGGCGCAGTGAGAAGCAAGAGGAAAGGGCAGGTGCGGCTGTGGATCCCTGGGGACTGCAGCAGGGGTCTGAGCTGTGCATGGTGACACCAGACACCACGAAGGGACCAGGAGGCCCACACACCTGGAGAGAGCCGCCACGCAGCTGGGGACCATAGCGTCACCTGCACCTCCTGGCTCTGCCTCTTGTCTTGGGCATGGCTCACTCAAGCCCCACAGGTGAGTCCCCACCGCTGCCCCCTTACTGGGGGATCCCTGAGGCCAGTGAGGGTCACGAGGACAGGCTGGTGCATGGCTGGACCTGGGAGGTGGGTTCCTAGAGCCCTCAGGAGGCAGGGTCAGGTCCAGCTGGCTTCCTGGAGGTGGTGGCCAGCAGAAAGGAAGGAGAGAGACCAGGGAGAAACCCCGGCTGGGGCCCAGGGTCCCTAAGGACAGCATCCCGCGCCCCCTCCCACTCCCGCGGGCCTCGTCGCTCGCCCACCCTGGCCTGGCCCCGCAGTCTCAGGACGCCTGGTACCTGCTTGTTTGCTCAGGGCGCCCCCTCCCCTGCCTGCCTCGTGGGGCAGGGCTGTCTAGACAGCGGGGGCTCCTTGGCCCACCGGCTTTGTCCCCAGAGTTCCCCGAGCAGAAGAGGCGGCCACAGACAAAAGGGTGTTTGCCTTTCCCCCACAGCCAGGCAGCTCCCCTGTCTCCATGGCTCCAGGCCAGCCTGTGACCCCAGGCCCCCACCCAGAGGGACACACCCAGGAGCTGGGCCTGTGGCTCCCTGAGGGGTGGGGTGAGGACCGACACCAGGACTTGCTTCCCACAGGGGCTTCCTGGGGGTGCCTCCAGCCGAGTCTGGGGCACAGGGCAGGGCTCTGATGAGTGGAGGTTAGGAGGGCGCCGTGAGGGCTGGCAGGAGCTCAGGCAGGGGGAGTGAGGAGGTGGGAGGTGGGCAGAGTGGGGTGTGGCTTCCAGCAGGGGCCCCCTGACCTGGCAGGTGTCGGGCAGAAAGCCAGGCCAGCTGTGGCGGATGCAGGTGGGCTCTGGGGTGGGGCAGATGAGGAGGGCCCGGGTAGCTGTGGGTCTGTGCCCACCTGGCCTGGCCCCCAGGCACCTCCTCTGCTTGGCCCCCAGGTTCTCCCAGCACCCTGGGCTTCTTCAAGTCCCCCTGGCCTCTCTCCCTCTCATCTCAGGTGGCTTCCCAGGCAGCCCTGCCCCTAAAACCAGCACCTAGAGCGTCCCTGCCTGTGCCAGCACCCTCTCCCCACCCGGCTCTGCCAGCCTGATTCCCTCACGTCTGAGTTTCCTCCACCCGATTTCCTGGCATATTTTATGTCACGGTCCTGCACGGTTGTCAGGTGCCCAGGCCTGTCTTGGGATGGAGGGGGCTCTGACAGTGAGCGAGACAGCAAATGTCCCAAGACTCAGTTTCTCCGTTTCTGAGCAGGGCTTCCCCCTGCCAAGGACTCGGCCGAATGGCACGTGGGGACACTCCCGGTGCCCTGGCCCAGTGGCAACCCTCCCCCGGCCCCTTCATCTGTGTCCCACATGCTGGGGCGCTCACGGATTTTGTGAATGAACAAGGAACAAGGGAGGCAGCGCCTTTGAAACCCAGGGTAGGAGCACAAAGCCACCAAGACCCGGCTCTCCTGCACACCCTTGCCCCGAGCCCGCCACGGGCAGCCAGATAGCAGGCAGCTGGAGCGAACCCCTGATCCAGGCCCCTGGCCCTGCGCCGGCTGAGGGGTGAGAGCTGGGCAGAGCGTATCTGACCTGGGAACACCCACCTCACCTAAGCCTGCCCAGCTCCACCTGAGACAACATCCGGGCCCTGATAAAGCCAGTTGTGCACCCTGGGGGCATGCACCATGCTAATCCGCTTATCTGCTGGGTTGGTCTCAGCTGTGCCCAAAAGGAGTCCACACTGGGCGGAGATCAGGGGACAGGCCCAGGGTGGGAGGCTGGCTCTGCGTCCCAGCCCGCTGTGCAGCTGGGCCCCGCAGCCTTCCCCACCTTCCCCTGTGTTGGGTCTCAGGTTTCGATGGCCTTTCCCTGCACCCCACCCTGCAGAGGTCATCTCAAAGCCATGTCCAGCTGCAGGACAGCTGCACCAGTAGATGGCCTCCCCTGCAGGGCAACAGCCATGCCCCAGGCTCAGGGGCATCCTGTGGCAGGCATGGGGCCCTGCAGCAGCTGGACGGGGTCGGCGGATCCCAGGAAGCCTGCTCCCCTGCCTGGCTTATGACCCGGGCTCAGCTCACCGGCCGCTCCACCCCGGGTGGTGCTCTCGGCCAGACAGCAGGGCAGCAGGTCTGAGGCCTGCTCTGTGGGGGGATGGGCTGGGTGCCTCTGGGCCTCAGACTCCCCAGCCACACATTGAGAGTGTTGGGGCAGGTGCAGCCCCCAGTCCAGGCTCGAGGCCGGCGTGAGCACTGGGCACCTGCTGGAAGCTGAGGTAGAGACAGTGGGTAGGAGGAGAAGGCCACCTCCGTGACCAACCATAGGCCTGCGTGGTGGGCACTGGGGGCGTCGCCCAGGCCCCACCAGGACCGAGGCCTTCGTCCCAAGCCACCCGAGTGTTGGCTGCCGAGGGCTCGGCCCTCCTTCCCTGGGAACTGCCCTCCCCAGAAAGCCACCTCGCCCAAGGCCACAGCGAGCCTGCGTGCAACGCCTGCCACATCGGGGGACAGAACCCAGCCTGGGATGTCTCCCAAGGCCTCCCGGCTCCAGAGCTCCAGGGTGGCTCCCTCGGCAGCTCAGCCTGTCCCACGCTCCCTCCATGCTCCCCTCACCCCCAGCTGGTGTCCTGAGAGCCCCGCTGACCCCTGCCCACATATCTGGGGCAGTCTGCCTCTGGGCCCCCAGCCTCAGACGGCCTGTGTGGCTGGACAGTGGGGTGCGTGTGGGGCTGCAGCGGGGGACACGGGAGGCACATGGAGGTCGGGACCCCCAGGCCTCGGCCCCCCTCTGGAGCCCTCAGGGCCTGGACAGGGGCAGGCAGGCTAGAGGGGCACCCACCTCAGGAGCCTCCTCCAACGGAGGTGGGAACAGATTGGGGGTCGAGAGGGGAGGCCGGGGCTGGGTGAGGGTGATAAGACCTGGGCCGGGGGGCAGGAGGCTGGGGAAGAGCGGCCTTAGGGGGGCCCAGCCTCCTCCTCCACTCGGGGACTGTCCTGGCTGAGGTCACAGCATCAGCCACGTCCATCCCCATCCCTGCCTTTCTGCTCCCCCAGCCCTGCCTCCTACCTGGGTCCCCCCAGCGACCCGGCCCCAGGGCAGTGCGTTGGCCAATAACGTCTCTCGTTGGCTCCAGAGCTCACAGGTTCACTGTGAATGTCAGGAACCCGGGTGTGTCCTAGAGTCAGGACAGACAGCGTCAGACCTGGGCTCAGTTGGCTGCGTGCTTTTCGTGGGTGTGTGTGTGTGTGTGTGTGTGTGTGTGTGTGTGTGTGTGCTACACAGCAGTTTTACCTGTACACACAGGCTTCAAGGAAAGGCTAGTAGTCATGATCAACTGACTCTTACGCATCTTCTTCACAACGGTGGCTGTTTCTGAGCTGCAGCTGTGCTGGGGTCTCTACAGACAGCGTTTTGCCACAGGCCTTCTGTAGCATGTGATACTGTCCCCATTTAACTCGAGAGCAGACTGAGATGCAGAGCTCAGGAGACCTCAGGTCACAGGCGGGGGGACAAGCCCTAGAGGGTCCACAGAACCAGAGCCTCCCAAAAGCCCAGATTGACCCAGCTGCCACCAGCCCTGCCAAAGTCCGTCCCCGGCCGCAGGGCTGCTGTGAAGTGGGGCAGGGGTGCCTGCTGAGAGCCCTGTCCACCCCGTAGTCCTTCCTCCTCTCACCCCTTCCTCCTTTCAGTATTTCAGCTGACGGGTGGCTCTGGGCTTGAAGCAGATCCAAAAGCTTGAGCTCTGCCCCCCAAACAAAAGGGACCCCACCCTCGTGGCATGGCTGTTCCGTGGGGACAGTGAGCTGGCACACAGGACAATGTCGGCTCGTGAAAGTTCTAGATAGGATACAGAGCGGGTAGCGTGGGCTCAGGGAGGCAGGGGCAGGTGTCTGCTTCAGACGCCTCTGGGCAGTGACCCAGAGCTCAGGGGCGGCACCAGGGCACTGGAAAGGCCCCCCACAGGCCTCCCAGAAAAGCCAACAAGAGGGCAGGGTGGGGGCTGGGCGCTGCTTTGCAAGAGGCAAGGCTAAGGTGGTCCCACCATGCACAGAGCCTGCCCGGGCCACCAGGAGCCCTGACTTTGTGCACTGGGGCTGCCCAAGATGCCTGGCCATAAGCAGCGTCCTCCCCGGGTGGTGGGAAAGGCCCGGTTTGGGGACCGCGCTGGAGGGCCACCGGGACAGTCGCCCACCTGCCCCATCTCCAGCCCAGTGCCCTCACCCAGCGTGGGGTGCAGCCAAGGAGCCTTACGCACACAGACCAGGGTGCAGCTCCAAACTCCTGGGGTCAGGCGTTGTTGCTCTGCCTCTCCCCAAAGTGGAGACTGCCGGTCCCCAGCACCCGGCGCACTGCCCGTGGGGATTTACTCTGCGGATGTGGGAGTAAACGGCACATTCTCTGTTTACCAAGCCAGCTGTGCTAGGCATCCGTCTGCCTTCATGTTGTCCGAGCACAAACCCCCTCACGGAGGAGGCCGAGTGTTCCAGCGCAGGCCAGGGCTCCCTCCCAGAGCGGGTGAGGCGGAAGGCCCAGCCATGGCCATGCCAGAAGACGGACCTGGTAGGGGTGGGCCCTCCGTGGGACATGGTCCACGCTAGCTGCACCACACACAGACGTCGTTTTCAGGGTGCGGGGGGGTGGGGGCAGTGCAGAGGCCCCAGAGCATCCCACGCCCCCATGAGGGCTTCCTCCGTCGAGTCAGATGGCTCCTCACGGTGTCCAGCTCAGTAGTCCGCAGGCTGACCAGCTGGGAGGGACTGATGTCTCCCCACCACCAGGGCATCTGGAGACGTTGCGTGTCAGCATCAGGGGTTAGGACCACGACTTCCCAAGCAGCTCCTGTCTGTGCATGGGCCTCGCACAGGCCCTGGCTGGCCCAGGGGTCCGAGCTCTCCAGCACGGGTGGACCTCCCTCCCATCCTGCCTGGCTGCTGGACTGCCCGTCCATCTGTCCCAGGGGACCATTTAGGCTGAGCTGTGAGTCCCATCAGGCCTCTGGGACTATAGGAGGATTAGGGTGGCCCCCAAAAGATAAGCCCAAACCCTGAACCCTGGGACCTGGGAGGGCTGCCTTGCTGGCAGAAGGTATAATGTGGATCTCAGATGAAATCTTCTTGGACGATCTGGGTGGTGTCGTCCACCATCCATGTGTGTCCCCATAGGGAAAGGCCGGGTATGTGTGTCAGAGGTACTCCAAGCCTCCAGTGGGAATCAACACTTCTGCCTCCCAGAACTGGGACTTCTGCCCTCCTGAACGGTGAGAGGATACATTTCCCATGTTTTCAAGCCACCTGTTGTGGGCATTCATTATGGCGGCCCCGGTAGACACACAGCAGCCAATGAACTGAATACTAGGGCTCAGGGGCCCACAGGAGCCAACATGGGGAATGAGCCCTCTCCCGGGCACAGGCACTGAAGCCACAGGCACCGAAGGCACAGCCCCTGCACCCCAAGGGGGAGTGGACAAATACACCCTGCACGGGAGCACTGCCCAGCAATGAAATCAAGCAGTGGCCACCAGGACTCAGTCCGCCGCGACTCAGCCCACGTCCACTGCCACCCGTCACTGCAGATGACTGGTGGGTCTGCACCGGAGGGTCCAACATCACAGGGGCTGGACAGGCTGGGCAGGGCTGAGCCAGGAGCCTCTCTGCCTCAGTTTCCATGGCTGGCAGCAGGGCTCACACCACAGGCCACTGTGGGAGACTGTTGTTTGTTTGTTCATTCATTGAGTCATCTTCATTCATTCATGCATCCGCTCATTCCCATCCACTCATTCCCATCCACTCATTCCCATCCATCTCATTCCCATCCATCTACATTCCCATCCGCTCATTCCCATCCATCATCTACATCCCCATCCCCATCACTCATTCCATCCATCTACATTCCCATCACTCATTCCCATCTATTCATTCCCAATCATCTACATTCCCATCCACTCATTCCCACTATTCATTTCATCCATCCATCCACTCATTCCCATCCACTCATTCCCATCTATTCATCCATCCATCCACTCATTCCCATCCACTCATTCCCATCTACATTCCCATCCACATCCATCCCATCCATCTACATTCCCATCCACACATTCCCATCCACTCATTCCCATCCACCTACATTCCCATCCGCATTCCCATCCACTCATTCCCATCCATCACCATCCACTCATTCCATCCACTCATTCCCATCCATCTACATTTCCACCCACTCATTCCCATCCATCTACATTCCCACCCACTCATTCCCATCCACTCATTCCCATCCACTCATTCCATACATTCCCATCCATCACACCATCCATCATTCCCATCCATTCCAACCATCTACATTCCCATCACTCATTCCCATCCACTCATTCCCATCCATCTACATTCCCATCCACTCATTCCCAACCATCTACATTCCCATCCACTCATTCCCATCCACTCATTCCCATCCGTCTACATTCCTATCCATCTACATTCCCATCCGCTCATTCCCATCCATCTATATTCCCATCCACTCATTCCCATCCATCTACATTCCCATCCACTCATTCCTATCCATCTATATTCCCATCCACTCATTCCCATCCATCTACATTTCCATCCACTCATTCCCATTCACTCATTCCCATCCATCTACATTCCCATTCACTTGTTCCCATCCACTCGTTCCCATCCATCTACATTCCCATTCACTCGTTCCCATCCACTCATTCCCATCCATCTACATTCCCATTCACTCGTTTCCATCCACTCGTTCCCATCCACTCATTCCCATCAACTCATTCCCATCCACTCGTTCCCATCCATCTACATTCCCATCCATCTACATTCCCATCCACTCATTCCCATCCATGCATTCCTGTTCACTCATTCATGTGCTCATTCCCATCCATCTACATTCACATCCCCTCATCCTTATTCACTTATCCCCATCCATTCAGTCCCATCCACTCATTCCCATCCACTCATTCCTGTTCACTCACTCATCCACTCATTCCCATCCATTCATTCCCATCCATCTACATTCACATATTTCTCTTCATTCATTCATACATGTTCAACTGTATTATTGATATTCATATTCACTTACTCATTCACTCATATTTATTCATTCCACAACATGTATGGGGCCTTCATGGGGCTGGAACAGGTCTTGCCCTCAGGGAGCTCACTGAGAGCTGGGGGAGATGTTCATAGACAACCCCACGGCAGTATTCAGGGGTGGGGTTGAGTTCAGCACCAGGGGCAGTGGAGGGCCCTGGTCCAGGTGAGCCCTGCCTGGGAGTAAATCCCATGCCCCCACCAAGTCTCAGAAGGCTTGAGCCCATGCTCCAGGGTTGCCTATGAGCAGAGGGCAGGACTCACACCCCTCTGTCCTCAGGCAGGTGCATCCTCTGGCCCTGGGGCAGGTCAGTCATCTCTCCCTGGGGCAGGTGGGTCCTCTATTCCTGGTGCAGATGTTGAGAAGCTAAGTCTTGGGCAGAACCAGATGTGAGCAGCCTGAATTCAGACCCCACATGAACAATAGCCACGGGCTATCTCCTGAACCACCCCTGCTCTCTTTCCACACCCCAAGGAACCACCTCCTGGGCTGTTTAAGTCAGAACTCTTGGAGTACCTGTCCCATCCTGACGTCCCTCCCTCTGGCCAGACAAGGGACCCCAGATTGTAGGACATGTCTGGTCTCTGAGGAGGAGGCTGAAGCTGACAGCACCTGCACTAGGTGGACAGAACAGGTCTGAGAAGGCCCAAAGGACAGAGAGGCATGTTATGGTGTGAATATATTCCTCAAAGTTCATACATTGGAAATCTGATTGCCATTTTAACAGTATGAAAAGGTGCAGCGTTAAAGAGGTGAACAGCATGTCATGCTGGGGTTCCACGGAGCTCTGTCCCCGCATGTCCTAAAGGGGGACTGAGGCTGGATTTTACTGCAGGTGATGCTGGACACAGCAAGGACAGGACCAAAGCCTCTGTGGCCTGAATGTTATGGAGGGATTGAGAAAAAGGACAGTCTAAAAAATTGTCCCACATGCCTTCAGCCAGCATTGCATCCCATATGATGTACTAATGGAAGGAGAGACAGAGAGAGGAGGCAGAGGGAGGGAGAGAGACAGAGAGAGGAGGCAGAAGGAGGGAAAGAGACAGAGACAAGAGGCAGAGGGAGAGAGAGACAGAGAGAGGAGGAAGAGAGAGAGAGAGAGGAGGCAGAGGGAGTGAGAGAAACAGAGGAGGCAGAGGGAGGGAGAGAGAAAAAGGAGGGAAGGAAGGAAAGACGGAGGGAGGAAGGAAGGGGGAGGGGGAAGGAAGAAGGAGGGAGAGAGAGAGGGAAGAGGGAGGAAGGAGGGAATCAGGAGGAAGGAGGGAAGAGGGAGGGTACAAGGGAGAGAAAAAGAAAAAAGAGATAGAAGGGAAAAGAGAAAGAAAGCAAGAGAAGGAAAGAGGGAGGGAGAGAAATGATGGAGAGAGATAGAGAGAGAGGAAGGAAAGAGAGGGAGGGTGGGTCCACGGCTGACGCAGGGCTCACAGCCCAGGCCGCCATCCACCACAGAAGAGGTGGCCTCACGGTGGCCAGGGGGAGAGGGCTGGGCACATGGTGCTGGGCCACAGCGGACCCCCATCCAGCTGCCTGTGGGGGGGGACCCTTCATTCCTTCTTTCTCCAAATGTTCATTGAGCCTGACTGTGTGCCAGGCCCCCCATCCCCTCCAAGAGCGCTCACTGGGTGGTGTGGGCAGACCCTGCTGGCCTGCCTGGAGCCCGCTGACCAACCCAGGGGCTGTCCAGGGGTGGCCAGGCAGGCGCTGCTTGGTGGAGAGGCCCTGGCGGGTGAGAAGGTCCCAGCCATGCAGCCGTGGTTGGCATGCAGCCTGTGGAGCTGTGGACAGCTGCTTCCCCTGGCTGACCCCGGCATTGCGTGCCTGCCCTCGGGGGCTAATCCAGGATCTCTCCCAGCTCCAGGTGCAGGCACTTCCAGGTTCCCTGGGGCGGTCAGGACCACAGCCTGGCAGGGTTCTCGGGCCTGGGAACCGCTTGGCACAGGTGCCAGCAATGGGCACATTTATTCAAAGAAAAGGAAAAGATATTCTCTCGTCTCCCTGGGAAAACAGACACGGCTCATCTGGACTGGAGCATGGGAACACGCCCCAGGGAGGAGAGGCCAGCCCCTCGGGGGAGAGAGGGAAACATTGACTCAACCAAGGCCACATCCCAGGCCCTCCTCGGGTTGACCAGACGTCTCTGCAGCCGAGGCTGCTGCCTGGGCCAAGAGGGAGGTAGAGGAGGCTGGGGCAGCTGGGGCGGCTCTAACCGACTCTCAAAGACAACACACAGGCTGCCCTGCAGCCTCGGCTCTTGTCCTGCCTGCAGGTCACCCCTGAGCAGCCGCCACCAGCCTGGGCGGGTGGGGGCTCCCAGGGCAGCAGGGGACACTCCTGACCCACAACCTTCCATGCCAGGCTGCCAGGGTGCCGCGCTGAGTGGGACTCGTAGGTCACTTCTGGGCCCACACAGGAGTGGGGCACCACGACCACCCAGTGATGCTGGCAAGGCCCAGGAGGACGGGGTGGGGATGGGGCCGTCCTCAAGCCAGGCCTAAGACCCTCCGGTGCTGGCAGCCCCAGGGGAGGTCACAGTGTGAACGCCTTCTTCCTTGTCCCTCCAACCCTGGGGTACACGAGGACCTGGCCTGGGAGTGGAGGACACGGGTGCAAGGCACGGATGTGAACAGCTCTCCGGGACCCCGGGGTGCACCAGGACCCGGCCTGGGTGTGGAGGACACGGGTGCAAGGCACGGATGTGAATGGCTCTCCGGGACTCAAGCAGGCAGTGACAGCACAGGCAGGGGCGCGGACTCCGTGACAGGGACCAGGGGGCTGCCATCCTCTGTGCACTGGCCCCTCCTGACAACATGGCTCATCCTCCTGGGGCCCCGCCCTCTTTGGCCTCTGTGGTTTGGAGATTCCACTGAGCCACAGACTCAGGATTTTTGGGCAGCCCTGAGGCACCCCCCGTCTGCACAGCGAGGTGAGGCCAAGCAGGCCACTAGTGCTGCCGGCCGTTGGGGCAGGAGGGGGGCGTGCAATGGGCAGTGGGCACTGGGCACTGGGTCCCATGCCGAGCCCGTGCCAGGGGCAGGAAAGTGGGCACTGGTTCATGGGCAGCCCCCAGGGCTCCCCGCCAGGTATCCGGGCACCGCAAAGGGGCACCCGCAGTTTACCACCCGCCGCAATCAGCACTCCTGGCAGGTGGCCAGCCACACGCCACCCTCCCACCGCCCCAGGGCTGCCCATCCCTGCAGGCCACCCCCTTCCAAGTCTCCCGGGCCCCTCCCATGTCGAGAGCCCATGGGGAGGGCAGTGCAGCCCTTGCTGGCCTCCACACCCTCAAGGACATGCTCTGTCCCCAGACGCCTGAGCAGGAGCAGGAGTGAGGGTGAGGCAGCGAGAGGCCAGGAGGGTCCAGGGCTCTACAGCGAGGTTAAAGGTTTGCGGGTGTGCCTAGCAGAAGGCTCTGGTCAGCCTGGTCTGTGAGGAATCCGGGCACTGCCTGGGCCCCTCCAAGAATGCCAGGAGCCATAGAAGGGTCAAGAAAGGGTCAGGGTCAAATTGCGGTGTCAGCGGTGGGGTCCGGGTCCAAACAGCCCCTGCCTCCAGCCAGACCAGCAGAAGCCAAGAGGGGCCTCCCAGGAGAACATGGCCCCTGCCGTCTGCACCCTCCTCACTTTTCCAAGAGCAGCAAGCACCACAGTGATGGGGGGGCTCTGAGGGGCCGGGACAGGGGTGGGAGTGGCAGAGCGTGGGTCCTCTGGACCTGGGGTCCTGCAGGATGTGGGCTCTGCAGGGTCAGGCGAGGGACACACGTTCTCCTCAGCACACGCAGGGCAGAGGGTCAGTGCCTCGGGGCTGGCAGTGGCCCCGAGATTGCAGGAGCCCGTTGCACTGGAAATGTGGTTTGCTGCTGAGAAAAACATTTCTGCTCTATTGAAAAATGCAGCATGGCCAGGTGCAGTGGCTCATGCCTGTAATCCTGGAGATTTGGGAGGCTGAGATGGGAGGGTGACTTGAGCCCAGCAGGTGGAGGCTTCAGGGGGCTGTGATCCACCACTGCACCCCATCCTGGGCAAGCCCTCTATCTCCCAGGGCTTCCTGATGCTCTGCCCCTGGCCATGCCCAGGCTGCAGCCCCAGGCCGGTGGAAACAGGCCCAGGGTCCCATCTGGGCACCAAAGGGTCCCTGTGGGGAGGGTTTGCAGTTGGTCCCTCGGACACCCCGGACCCTCTTCACACGCTGACTTGAAATCTGGCATAGATGCCGTAGATCGCAATTTCCTCGAGTTGGGGTCCTCAGCCTCTCCCTTCATGTAACCCACACGGCTGCCACACAACAAATTCAATCACAGCCGAGCCAGGCTCAGGGCGGGCACCTACCATTCCCACAGCCCCTGCAGAGCAGAACCCATGGGGCCCCCTGCAAACTGGAAAGGAGGCCCCTCCAAAGATGACGGAATCCAAGACAGGGACCCAGAGCTTAAACCAGCCCTGAGCACGGTGCAGCCTCAGCCCACTCCACCGCATAGTCTCAGCCCGGGCCGCCCCCGGCCTCCCCCACAGCCCAACCTCATGCTCTGTGATGGACTCAGCCCTGGCTGCCCCACGGTGCAGTCTCAGCCCCGGCCGCCCCCAGCACACAACCTCATGCTCTGTAATGGGCCCAGGAGATGCCCCAAGCTCACCTCCTCTTGAGGCCTCTCCACGGCCCAAGTTCTGTCCCCCACAGCCCTGCCCTCTGTGAGCCGCCATCCAGGGTGGCACAGACCCCACTCTGGGTCCAAGCAGAGATGCAACAGCCCCCAGAGTCCTGAGCCCCCAGACCCAGACAAGGCCAGGCCCCTGCCCTGTGGGACGCCGCCCCCTTCAGCCTCAAAAGGACACTGGGAGCGCAGAGGTGTCACCGCCTGGTTTGGAGAGAAAGAGCTAGAATTCCGGAGGAGGGAGGAGAGCAAGGGACCAGGGACAAGGGCGAGGAGGGGAGGGGGGTCCCGGGCTCCCCCAGCAACGGGTGCAGCCACACCGATGCTGAGTGTTTGCACACAGGGCTGGCCCAGCCACCTTATTTATTTATGAGATTTATGGGGTTTTAATTCAGCCCTACCTAATGACGCACACAGTGGCTGGTCAGCACCCAACATGGGGTACGGGGAGGGGTCCCGCCCTTCGGCTCCTGAGGGCTGGTCAGGAGCCACAGTGACCTGGGGACAGGAGTGGCCTCGGGTGCTCTAAGACCCGTACCTCTGGACTGGAATAAATGGCTAGAGCTCAGCATGGAGGGGTCTTTCTCGAGTGCCCGAGGGGGGCCCCTACTACCCAGCTCCCAGGCCCTCTGAAGCCCACCGGGCCCCACCGTATTCTCCACCTTCTGGGTCTCCAGATACTCTGTCCACTTTGGGGAGACCTTCCAGGGTCTCTGGCCCCCACGCCTCACCTTCCCTTGCCCTCCCAGTTCCCACCAGCCTCCCCACTCCCTCCTTCTCTCAGCCTCCGGAAGATCCTTCTAGAAACACTTCTTCTTGGAACCAACCCAAATGTCCAACAATGATAGACTGGATTAAGAAAACGTGGCACATATACACCATGGAATACTATGCAGCCATAAAAAAATGATGAGTTCATGTCCTTTGTAGGGACATGGATGAAGCTGGAAACCATCATTCTCAGCAAACTATCGCAAGGACGAAAAAACCAAACACCACATGTTCTCACTCATAGGTGGGAACTGAACAATGAGAACACATGGACACAGGAAGGGGAACATCACACACCAGGGCCTGTTGTGGGGTGGGGGAGGGGGGAGGGATAGCATTAGGAGAAATACCTAATACAAATGACGAGTTAATGGGTGCAGCACACCAACATGGCACATTATACATAGGTAACAAACCTGCACATTGTGCACATGTACCCTAAAACTTAAAGTATAATTTAAAAAAACAAAAGGAAACACTTCTTCCTTCTCATCCCTCCCCAGCCCTACCCAGCCCCAGCAGGCCTGCCTTGCCCTCCCACGAGGACCCCAACTCTTCTCCACCAGCCCCAGCCCCCAACAAGATTTCCCAAAAGTGCCTGTTGAGGTCCAACCCCATGCTCAGCCTCTCCAGGCTTCCCTGGGAGCCCCTGACTCCTGCTGCCCAAATCCTGCCCTGTCAGCACCACCTGCCCCAGAGGCGGGACCAGAGACCATCACAGCCACCTCCGCACAGCCCCTCTCACGCTCAGTCACCCCAAGGCCCCTCCCCATGCAGGTGGGTGGTGGGTGGGCGAGGGCCCCAGCTCTGGCCGTGCCCTCAGCCCTGGGCTGCCAGTTTAGGCTGGTCTTAGGGAGCCAACCCTGGGGTATTGGTCTTCTGATCCCACCTCATGGTCTGACCTCATGATCTACCCACCTCAGCCTCCCAAAGTGCTGGGATCACAGGCGTGAGCCACAGCGCCGGCCACTTTTTTCCTCAAATGAATGAATAGTGCTAAATCTTTCTTTTTTCTTTTTTTTTTTTTTGGAGACAAAGTCTGTCATGAAAGCTGGAGAGCAGTGGCGCAATCTCAGCTCACTGCAGCCTCCGCCTCCTGGGTTCAAGTGATCCTTCTGCCTCAGCCTCCCGAGCAGCTGGGATTACAGGCATGTGCCACCATGCCCAGCTAATTAATTTTTATATTTTTAGTAGAGATGGGGTTTTGCCATGTTGGCCAGGCTGGTCTCGAACCCCTGGCCTCAGGTGATCCACCCGCTTCGGCCTCCCAAAGTGCTGGGATTACAGGCATGAGCCACCGTGCCCGGCCCCTCTGACTTTTTTGTTATGGATGATTTCAAACCCTATGAAGAACAGAGTAATGGAATGGACATGACCACTACCTCCTCACCGTCAGCTGTAACTAATATCAGACCTGCCACTCTAGCTCAGGTGTTTTCCATCAAGGAATAAACATCACGGGCAGAAGTGGGTGCCCCTCCCTGCTCTCCAACCCTCTCCAGAGGCAACCGTGACCCTGAATCCAGTGCCTCTCAAAATATTTTATAATTTTACTACTTTTGTAAGTGTCCAGCATTAGGGTCCTGTTTCACATTCACAGAAACGGACAGCATCAGGGTGCAGGATTAGAGACCCGCGATTCATTCCTTCTGCTCGATGCTGGGTTTGCGATGCCTCCTTGTCAAGACAGGCAGTTCCGGTTTAGTGCTGGGCCCCATCCAGAGGATGAATATGCCCAGAGGAGCAGCCCGTTCCTGGTGGACCAGCATGCAGGCCATTTCCAGTCTCCATCCTCCCGGGTGGGCAGCTCCCTGGGTGCCCAGAAGCAGGACTGTGTCCTCAGCTTGGCTGCCCTGACCAACCGCTCTCCCCTAAACGCCCCAGCATGTTCTCTCTGGAGGTGTGAGAACCTTCAGCTGGTCTCAAGGATTATCACGCCCTTCCTGGGGTCCCAGTGGCCGAGCCTCCCTGCTGGCTACTCCCTGTGTTGTCCGTGTTTCCTCCTGTGTGACCCCCGCCTGTCCGCGTCTCCTCCTGTGTGACCCCCGCCTCAACCCTGGGCTGCTTGTCTGACCATGACGTTCGCTAGATCTCCTGGACTCCGGCCTCAGCGCCGGATGCACAGAGATGACCTCCTTCCACTCCCTGGCTTGTATTTTTACTTAGTTATGTTGTCTTTTTTCAAACACAGTTTTTAAAATGTAATGTGGTCAAATGCGTCTCTCTTTACTTTGATAGCTTGTGACTTTAGTGACTTAAGAAACCCTTTCCTACCCTGAGGTCATCAATATTATGCCTGTTTTCCTTCTAAATGTTTTCAGGTTTAGCTTTTCACATCTGAGTTGTTTAATCTACCTGGTGTTTTATTTTTGTTTAGAGCGTGACACAGGCACCTAATTTTCCCCATGTAGAGAAGCCCCGGCCCAGCACACTCAGGGGACAGCCCAGCACACTCAGGGGACAGCCCAGCCCAGCACACTCAGGGGACAGCCCAGCCCAGCACACTCAGGGAACAGCCCGGCCCAGCACCCTCAGAGAACAACCCTCCTTCCTTGTAGATGTGGAGCACCCACCCACCTCAAAGCATCATCGTAAGCACATGGGCTGTTCCAGGCATCCACTTGCCTATCCCGGCACCAATGCCACGCTGTCTTAGAGGCAGGCGTCCCACATGATTCTTCTCTGAAACTCACTTAGCTCTGCTTGGCTCTCTGGCCTTCCACGTGGACCTTTGGACCAGCCGGCCAAATCCCACGAAAAACTCAGCTGGGATTGAGAAAGGCTGTTTGCGGAGAATCGACCTCGTTTTTCACTTTTTAAAATTAATCTCATTTTTCAAAACTTACACTTTTCATTCATGAACGTGGCATACGTCTCCATCAGTCAAGTCTTCTTTTATGCCCTTTGCAATGTTATAGTGGCCTGGACACCTTCCATCTGACGTTTTCTACATAGGTATCTTCGTAGGTTTTGAGGCTGCTGTTAATGAAGTATTTTTCTATTATATTTCAGCTTGGTTTCTACTGGTGTAAACATACGCTATTGTTTTTTCCCTCATCAACCTTGTCTCCAACATTACTGAACCCTCTCATTAGTTCAAATAATAGAGTCAAAAATTCTCTTGGTTTTTACATCTTCATGTTTCTTTCTTTGTTTGTTTGTTTGTTTTTGTTTGTTTTTGAGACAGAGTCTTGCTCTGTCACCCAGGCTGGAATGCAATGGTGTGATCTCGGCTCACTGTAACCTCCGCCTCCCAGGTTCAAGCCATTCTCCTGCCTCAGCCTCCCGAGTACCTGGGATTACAGGTGCCCACCACCACCACCTCCCGGGTAATTTTAGTATTTTTAGTAGAGATGGGGTTTCACCATGTTGGCCTGGCTGGTCTTGAACTCCCAACCACAGGTGATCTGCCTGCCTCAGCCTCCCAAAATGCTGGGAATACAGGCGTGAGCCACCGTGCCCAGCCAGTTGGCTTTTACATCTTGATAATCACATTATATGAAATAAAGGCCAGGTACAATGGCTTACACCTGTAATCCCAGCACTTTGGGAGGTCAAGGCAGGCAGATCACTTGAGCCCAGGAGTTCAAGGCCAGTCTGGGCAACATAGCAAAACCCTGTCTCTACAAAAAATAAATTAAAATGAAACAAATCAGGACAGTTTTGTTTCCCAATGCTGGTCTTCATTTCTTCTTGCTCTTGTCTCACGGACTTGGTGAAGCCTCCAGCACCCCCATAGAGGGAAGGCACAGCCATCGCCAACATCTCCCATGTCCGCTGGCTTCTGTGGGAGTGATTCTCAAGTCCCAGCAAGCGGAGGGGTTCGATGTGTGCTGTAGTTTCTGGGCAGATGTTCCTAAACAGGTTAAGACGGCTTCCTTCTAGTCTGGGCTTGCTCTTTTTATAATAGCGAGTTGAGACACGCTGTTGACTCCCATCAGACACCTGTCTGCACCTAAGATCCTTCCGTTTTTAAATCCTCCACACGTCTCTGGCACCCTCTCCTGCCTGGTGGTGGTACAGCAGCCCCAGGGACTCGGTGTCTGAGCAGAGCCAGAACCTCTCAGGGGACTGGGACATGGACAAGACCCTCGGTCTCCCGTCCCCACACCGTGACCACGGAGGCAATAGCTGCTCCCACAGCCTAGGCCCTGGAGTGAGCGGATGTAGTGGAGGGCACCAGCCACGCAGCCACAAACGGAGCATGAACCAGACAGAACCCTGCTGCCGTGAACCACCAAGACTCGGGGCCAGGTGCAGTGGCTCACCCCTATAATCCCAGCATTTTGGGAGGCCGAGGCGGGCAGATCACCTGGGGTCAGGAGTTCGAGACCAGCCTGGCCAACATGGTGAAATCTCATCTCTACTAAAAATACAAAATCAGCTGGGTGTGGTGGTGGGCGCCTGTAATCCCAGCTACTCAGGAGGCTGAGACAGGAGAACCGCTTGAACCCGGGAGGCGGAGGTTGCAGTGAGCCGATATCACACCACTGCACTCTAGCCTGGGTGACAGAGCGAGAATCTGTCTCCAAAAACAGAAAAAGAAAAAGGGTCTTTGCAGATGTGATTAGATTGAGGACCTCACGAGATCAGCCTGGATTATCAGGTGGGCCCTAAATCCAAAGACCAATGTCCTTAGAAGAGACGCAAAGGGAGAAACGCCCAGGAGAAGCCCCGTGGAGACGGAGGCAGGGCATGGGCGATGCAGCCGCAAGCCAAGGAACGCCCAGAGCCACCTGCAGCTGGAAGGGCCAAAAGCATCTTCCCCGGAGCCTGAGCGGCCTTGTGGCACCGCCACGCCTGCACCTCAGACTCCGGCCTCCGGGACTGTGGGAGACAGCTTTCCTGTGGCTTTCGGCCCCCGGTTTGTGGTCATTTGCTGGTGCCGCCCGGAGCACCCGACAGCCAGGCGCATGGCCTGTTTCAGCCCACGGAACAACAGCAAGTCTCACCTGGGCGGAAGGGAGGAGTGCGCGCTGGGGCCTTCCGTCTGCTCCCAGAAACAGGGAGGCCGCCGTGGGAACAGAACAGCCAGCTTCTTCCAGAGAATGCGAGAACTTGACCCCAACCCGTGCAGCTACTCCGAGGGGGTGGCCGGCTGCCCACCTGGCTGGCGGGCTCCCTATCTCCTCTGCTGTAGGCTTAGCCCACTGTGGTGAGCCCGGGGAAACAGGTAGCCCCTGGCCCGAGTCACCCCTAGGGAGACCCAGGAGGACCCAGCTGGGGGCATGAGTTATGCGAGGAAGAGGAGGGCGCTGGGGATAAAGTCGGGGGCTGCACCGTGACTGGACGGGGTTGGGGGGAGCCCCTGCGTCTCCCTGCCCCTCCGTTGGCACCAACCCTGCCTCCACCTGAAGGGGCAGCTCCCTCCCCACCCTCAACACCTGCACTGGAGTTCTGGACACAGAGAACCCAAAAGGAAGATCCTGAGTGGGCAGAAGGGGCGGGGCCTGTCCTAGGAAAGGGGTGGGGCCTGCTCTGGGGAAGGGGCGGGGCCTCCTCTAGGGAAGGGGTGGGGCCTGCTCTGGGGAAGGGGCGGGGCCTCCTCTAGGGAAGGGGTGGGGCCTGCTCTGGGGAAGGGGTGGGGCCTCCTCTAGGGAAGGGGTGGGGCCTGCTCTGGGGAAGGGGCGGGGCCTCCTCTAGGGAAGGGGTGGGGCCTGCTCTGGGGAAGGGGCGGGGCCTCCTCTAGGGAAGGGGTGGGGCCTGCTCTGGGGAAGGGGCGGGGCCTCCTCTAGGGAAGGGGTGGGGCCTGCTCTGGGAAGGGGCAGGGCTGTCTGGGGAAGGACTGGGGTCAGGGCTCATGCTCTCCTGGAGCTTCCCGGGTAGCCTCTGCTTTAAAGGGCACAGCAGGGAAGAGCAGGCAGGGGCCTAGCCGTACCCGTGTCCACGCTGCATCACCAGGGGAAGCCCCTCTTCGCAGCTGCAAGCTGGGAGACAGATGAGGAAACTGGAGGGAGCCTGACCACCTCTTCCTTACCAGGTCTCTGGCCGCAGTGCCCCCACCCCGCCCTGCCCATTTCCTGGCCTGTGCAGGGACTGCTGGGCCCAAGGGTCACAGCCAGGCAGAGATGTGATAGGTTTTGGGGGTGGGCCAGAAACAGGCCACCCTCGAAATGACCCAAGGATGGCTCTGGGGTCCATGCTGACAGCTTCATGGAAGGGCCAGTTCTGAAGCACCCAGAATCCCCACGTGGCTATGCCAGAGGCTCTAGGGTGGCCTCAGGGGCTCCATGGCAGGCCCAGGCCAACTGACTGCCCAGGAGGTCCCTAGGCCTAGACAGTGTGGGCTCCTGGGGCCACCAGAGGGGATGAGCAGGTCCTTTGGGGGGCTGTCCTGGGCCAAGTGGGGCAGTTGAAAGACCCCAGGCCTGAGCGGGTTCCAGGACCCAGGGTGGCGCTGATGAGCTGGGATGTCCCAACTGGCTTCAGACCCCAGGGTTGCTGCTCAACCGCGGCCCTCCCTGGGGTCAGATGGGGGAGAGGGCAGCTAGGGGAGGGCAGCTAGGGGAGGGCAGTGGCCTCAGCCCCCTGCCAGGAGCCAAGATCAGTGGCTCATGCTTGTAATCCTGGTACTTTGGGTGGCTGAGGTGGGAGGATCACTTGAACCCAGGAAGGAGTTTGAGACCAGCCTGGGCAACATAGTGAGACCCTGTCTCTGCAAAACAAACAAAACTATGCAAAAATCACGTGCCTGTTACTTTAGTAAAACAAAGGATTGTTTTGAAAGATAAGAACAAAAAGCAAAAAGCTCTTAAAAATTAGCCAATCATGGTGCCACATGCCTGTACAACTATTTGGGAGGCAGGACAGCAGGAGGTGGGACCTGTTGCACCCTGAGGACCCGTCACGCCCAGGGGACCCATCACACCTGAGGATCCGTCATGCCCTGAGGACCTGTCACACCCTGAGGACCCGTTGTGCCCTGGCTTTGGAAGTGTGGAGCCCAGCCCAGGTGTCTGCCCTCCTGAGGGTTTCGTCACATGTAAGGGGTGTGGCACAGCCTTGTAGTCTGGAGACAAATGTCCTCCCCTTTGACCTCAGAGGATGCTCGAGGTTGGATCACTGTGCTTAGAGGCCTCGGCCTCCCCACACACACCTGCTGCCTTTGACAGGAGACACCAGGCACCTGCTCTGGGCCAAGCAGCCTCCATGGGCTCCACCCAGAAGTCAGGGGCTCAGCTCTCCAACATGAGTGGGCACTGTGCCCAGGGTCCACAGCCAGTGCCCCTTGTCCAGCTGGGTCCGCAGAGCCAACCAGAACTTCTGCAGGTTTGAAGGTATTGGCGGCTCTGACTGGCAGCTCCCCAAAGCCCTGACGGGGCCACCAGGTCCTGGCCACCTTTTGTCACTAGGCAGCAGGAGCTGACAGTGACCTGAGGACTAAGACCTTCTCCATTTTCCCAGTGTAGAGACCCAGGACAAGGCGCATCTCACATACACATGGCACATGCAGACACATGTGCACACAAGCAAATGCTAGCACGCTCATGCACACACACACGTGCACACACATCACATACACACGGCACATGCAGACACGTGTGCACACAAGCAAATGCTCACACGCTCATGCACACACACACGTGCACACACACATCACATACATGGCACATGCAGACACGTGTGCACACAAGCAAATGCTCACACGCACATGCATGCACACACGTGCACACACATCACATACACATGGCACATGCAGACACGTGTGCAAAGCAAATTCTCACACGTGCATGCACGCACACACGCACACACACACACACCACCTCCCCAGGGCCACCCGACCCCCGGGGCTATGCACTCACACACACACACACACACACCCTCTGCCCAGGGCCACCTGACCCTCGGGGCTACACACACACACAGACACCCTCCCCAGGGCCACCTGACCCTTGGGGCTACACACACACACACACACACACATCACCTCCCCAGGGTCACCTGACCCTCGGGGCTACACACACACACACACGCACACACTCTCCCCAGTACCACCTGACCCTCGGGGCTACACACACACACACACACACACACACACACACACACACACCCTCCCCAGGGCCACCTGACCCTCGGGGCTACACAAAGGCCCCACCAACCGTGGAAAGCCTGTGAGATGGCTGTGAAGGAACCCAGGGCTCTTTTCACAGATTCAGGGCCGGGGGATTCCTACAAGGGAATCTGACCACATTTCGACAGCCCCGTGGGGGTTTTGCCCAGGGTGAGAATGGGGAGCGGAGGGCAGGCAGCCCCCACGTCCCCTCTGCATTTGGTACAAGGGATTTGCCAACCGCGTGGCGTGTGTGTGGTGCCCCCGTGTCCTGCACGCAGAGCCTGGTGGCCTCCGCCATGCACAGTGGCCAAGCCGCACCCCTGCAGCACCAACCTAAACCACACAGTACAGCATGTCCCCCTGAGTTTATTATTGGAAAGCAAGGACTGAACAAAGACTCAGACAATAAATATCTGAAGAGAGGAAGCCGAGCTTAGGAGGCTCAGAGGGTCCGGGGGAGGTAAAGCTGTCGAGGGCAGTGAAGGGGGCTGTGCCCACCCCGCTCACCCGCTCCCCAGATGCCTAGGGGAGCGCCGGGCCCGGCGGGAGGTGCCGGTGGGGAGCCCGCAGACGGTGTCCTGGCACTGGCAGCTCTCGATGTGGGTGTAGGTGTGTGTCAGCGAGCCGCCATTGGGGCAGCTCAGGACCACCTCACGCTGGCTGGTTTTCTCCTCTTTGCAGCAGGAGCAGCTGTGGTCCAGGGCCTGGGCCTTGGCCGAGTACCTGGGGGGAGGGCGGAGTGAGGGGTGACCTTCCGGGGCCAGCGCTGGCCTCTCGCCTCCCTGGGGTCTCCACCACCCCCTCCAGGCACACTCCCAGCCTGGGACTCACATGACAAATGTCCCGCAGGACCCGGAGCAATGATTCATGAGGACGGTCTTGGTGCAGCCGGCGTACGAAACCTCCGTGGTGACGGGGACGGTGGAGCAGGGCACCCTGGTCTCATTGCGAGGGGTGCCTGGGGAGAGCGGGCAGCGGCTTAGGGCAGGGCCTCCACATCTTCGAGGAGGCTCTCCCTCGCTGCGTCCCCTCCCCAGGCTCGGCCTCAGCCCCCAGCCCTCACTGCCCACCCAGAGGCCGTTGTCCAGCCTCCAGCCACCCCAGGCGGGGCTGAGGGCACCAGCCCTTGTGCCCCCACCCTGCCTACCCCCCAGGCTGTGCCCTGTACTCACAGGTCTTGCAGCATCCATTGGGCATGAATGTGATGGAGCCCTAGAGGGAAAGGAGAATGAGCCCGGGACCCCCGGACATTCCTGGGGATGAGAGCACCTTCCCACGATGCCGTGGGCGGGGGTAGCTGCTGCAGAAAGCCCCAGGCAAAGCCTCCTGCGGCAGCTCAGACCAGGCCCGAGGTCACTGTCGCAGCACTGGGGCCCCAGCCCCCCAGAACACCAGGCACCCCCACTCCCGGCAGAGTACACACAGCCAGGCCCCAGGTGGCCAACTCACCGGGATGCAAATGCTGGCATCAAAGTTGGGGCAGGTGATGTTGGAGACGGACGAGATGAGCTGGTTGTGGATCTTCACGCAGCTGAAGAATGTGCAGTTGTTCTTCGGGTCGCTCTTGAAGTCCCCGGGCTGTGGGGCAGGGAGCTCTGGTGAGGGAGGGCAGCAGGCCCAGCCCCAGCCCGGCCAGGAAGACACCCTGGAGACACCTGGCCGGGGAGGCTTCCTGGTGAGGCCCAGGGCCACAGGACAAGTGACATGGGCGGGGCCCCACATCAGGCACCAGCCTGGAGCCCACACAACCCTCAAAGGTCTGTCTGTGTTCTAACTCTGAATCTATGAATGTGACCTGCCTTGGAAAGGGGGTCTTTGAAGGTGTCATTAAGTGAAGGATCCTAAGATGAGATCATCCTGCTTGGGGTGCCTAAATCCTTAAAAGGGAGAGGAGAGGCAGACACAGGGAAGGAAACCTCGTGGTCACAGCCAAGGGGCACCTAGAGTGACCAGAGGCTGGGAAAGGTCCTTGCCTAGCGCCTCCGAGGGAGCACAGCCCTGAGGCCCTTTGCTCTATGGATTTCTGGGCCGCAGAACCAGGAGAATCCCTTTCTGCCCTGAAGACGCCTGCTCATTTGTCATGGCAGCCCCAGGGCGCCCATCACAGCTGCGCCCAGGACTGGGAGGACTCAGCTGGGGGATCCTGGGTGGCCCGCGCCTTGCCCTGGGCTCAAGCAACCCGGCCGCGTCGGGGCCGGCAGTGCACACCTACCTTCAGGATGACGTGCTGGTTGTCGGGCCGTTTGATGATACAGTGCGTCTGTTCACACTTCTTACAGCACTCCCCGGGGGCCTCCATGAGTTCGAAGCCCTGCGCACATAGACACGCCACTGCAACTGAACTCCCAGGCTGTACCCCACACCACACAAAGCCTGCAGGGCTGCCGAGACCCCCCCACCTGGAGGAGGCCCCAGGCTGGGCAGGTGTCAGGATGGAGAGGTGGGGACAGGGACAGGTTGGCGTTGAAAGGAGGAAAGAAAGGGTCACGATGCAGACATGGGCCCGGGTGCTTGTCTGGGAGGAGGGAAAAGGGCAGGCTGAAGGAGGAGGGTGGCCGCTTACAGGGCTGCAGGAGGTGTTGCAGGGCACGTGGGTGCAGGCGATGACGTTGAGCAGGGTGTTGTTGTCCACCTTGTCCGTGCACACGCAGTCCTGGCACTTGGAGGAATAAACTGGAGAACCGGGCTTCGGGCACAGGGAGAGACATGAGGCAGGGGCCTCTCCAGCATCCCAGCCAGCCCAACAGCCTGCCAGGACCCCCACGCTGCAGCCGACCTCCTCCCCTCCTCCCTCTCACCCAGCCCAGGGCTCACCTGGTACTCAGCATTCCCGTGAACACACACCCCCTTGGACTCTTGGGAGAAAGAACGGAGAAGGCCGTTCGTTGGAGACTGCCCCGGGGCGGCCACCTGGCCAGACCCCCACTCCCGGTGCACACCCAGTGGATGGAGCGAGCGCTCAGGGCTGGGGTGGGTGCATCAGCCAAGCGTACAGCCATCTGTGTCCCCAGAATCTGAGACCCCCAGGAGGGAGCCAACCCCCTTACAGCCACCCCACCCCGGGCGGCAGCCTCCTCCCTGCCCTGCCCACCAGCCCTGCTTACCACACCAGTAGAAAGGACAGCACCTTCCAGGCACCATCTTGCTCTTCACTTCGAATCCCAGCGGGCACACGGAGGGCTTCTCTTTGCACAGGCTGGTGTTGCACTCTGAAGACAGGGTGTGCACGCGGCCGTGAGGGTGGCTCCTCCCAGGCCAAGCCCCCGGGGCCACTGCACAGGCTGGTGTTGCACTCTGAAGACAGGGTGCGCACGCGGCCGTGAGGGTGGCTCCTCCCAGGCAAAGCCCCCGGGGCCACTGCACAGGGTCGGGCCTCCAGCACCTCCAAGGGTCCCCTCCCCACCCAGGTCAGGCCCTGCAGCAGGGATGCCTGGACTGGGCCCAGCGGCCCCCTCCCAAGCCCTCTCAAGGGGCACAGCAGAGGCCCCCAAGCCAGCTGTTTCCTCACTTGCCAAGGAGGGGACAGCAGGCAGCCCAGCCTACAGGGATGTGTGCACCCCTGAGAGGTGGCATGGGCCCCAGGGGATGGCCTTACTGCAGACGGTAATGTTGCAGCAGGTGTCGGCAGGGTTGACCTCCGTGGCGAGGTAGGTGCCGTCTTCCACGCAGTGGGTAACGGGCTTCTGGCTGCACCTCTTGGGTTGGCAGATGATGCCACTTCCACCCTCCAGGCAGACACAGTTCTTGCAGTCGAACTCGAAGTGCTCCCCAAACTGCAGGGAAAGAAGGGTGAGTAGAGAGGACAGGTGGCACCAGGCAGGCCCCACCTCACCACAGCCCCGGAGCTGCAGCTGTGGTCAGCGGGGAGAAACAGCCACCCTGAGCAGAGTGCTGAGGGATCCTGGGGGAAAACCATGTCCCTCCTCACTTCTGAGCACACCAGGCAGGTTCTGGGATAGGACAGTAGCTGCTCATTCACTGATATCACAAAGCCATTACCTGCTCACCAGCATCGACAAGCAGGGGCTTGGCACGTGGCAAATTCTCCACTCAGGCCTCTCAGGTTTGTACAGAATTTAGCTAAGGAATCATCCACATGGCTGCTACCACAGGTAGGAGGCATGGGCAGCACAGAGGTGGCCAAGATGTCATGTCAGAGCTTCTAGACAGAGTATCATATGACCAATGGGTGGTGAATGGAGGGAGGGAGAATGGATGGATAAATGGGTGGATGGTGGGTGGATGGTGGATGGATGGATGGATGGTTGGGTGGATGCGTGGATGGATGGGAGGGTGGATGGTAGATGGATGGTGGATGGATGGATGGATGGATGGATGGTGGATGGTTGGGTGGATGGATGGGTGGGTGGATGGGTGGATAGGTGGGTGGGTGGATGGTAGACAGATGGTGGGTGGATGGATGGATGGATGGATGGATGGATGGATGGATGGATGGGTGGATGGATAGGTGGGTGGGTGGATGGTAGACAGATGGTGGATGGATGGATGGATGAGTGGGTGGGTGGATGGTAGACAGATGGTGGATGGATGGATGGATAGGTGGGTGGGTGGATGGTAGATGGATGATGGTGGATGGATGGATGGTGGATGGTTGGGTGGATGGTGGATGGTAGATGGATGGTGGATGGATGGGTGGATGGTTGGGTAGGTGGATGGTGGATGGATGGATGGATGAGTGGGTGGGTGGGGGTGCATAGATGAGTGGGTGATGACTAGGTAGGTGGAAGGATGGAGGGGTAGGTGAGTGGGTAGATGGGTGCACAGGTGGATGAGTGGGTGGGTGGAAGGATGGGTGGGTGAGTGGGTGGTGTCCATGCCAACTCAGCCATCCAGGACTTAGATGACCTCATTCCTCAATCTTTGAGGCTCCAGGTTTTCATGTCCATCCCTCACTCCCCAGAATTCAGAATTTGTGGAAGGATCCCCCAGCAACACGGTGGGGCCTACCTCTCTGGGCACATTGTCAGGTCCCACACAGCCTAGGAAGAGGGAAGAAACAAGTTGTGTTAGCAGAGTCCTTGTGCAGCAGGGAGCAGGGGTGGGGGTGGTCAGCCTCCTGGTCCCAGCCTCCATGGACACCCAGGAGACAAGTTGTGTTAGCAGAGTCCTTGTGCAACAGGGATCAGAGGTGGGGGGTGGTCAGCGTCCTGGTCCCAGCCTCCGTGGACACCCAGGAGGAGGCAGGAGGGAGGCAGGAGGGGACAGTGTGAGTGGGTGGCGTACCGCAGGTCTTCACGCAGACATCAAAGCCAGGAGCGTAGTTCATGGTGCCCTCAGGACAGAAGCAGCCTTCCACCAGGACTGTGTTGTTCTGCTGGGAGGAGCTGGGGGCGGGAGGGCATTGTCAGACAGGTGGGGTGGGGCTGGGGAGCTGGCAGGTGGGACTGCTATGCCCAGATGATGCCACCCTCCGCACTGCAGAAGGCGAGCCCACGGTCCTGGTGGACCCTCAAACAACATACCTGGATTTGCACGTGGGCTCTTCTGCAGGGCCACAGGCCTGGTACTCCCTGTGAGATGGGCACTCCACCACTGAGGGACATGGGCAGAGGTCAGAGGGCTGCCTCATGTCAGGCGGAGGAGCCTGGACCCCCTTGAGTGACAGCTGCCCAGTGCCCCACACACGGAGGAGGGTGACCAGCTGCCTGGGCATCAACCTCCACCCTCGAGGTTGTCCCGAGCTGGGTGGTGGGCACCCAGTTGCATTTAGCGATGCTGGCAGAAGCCCCAGCACCTCAGCCCCTCCAGCCTGGCCTTCCCCACCCCATGGCCCCAGCCCTGGTCTCACACCCGCCATCTCTGCATCCCTGGCCGCAGCCCATCTAGGTCTAGCTTCAGGCTGGGCACAGCACCTGGCAGAGCCTAGAGACCACGTCTGGCCTGCAGGCCCCCAGCTCCAGGGCAGGGGCAGATGGGCACTTACAGCAGGCCCCATGCGTGTGGTTCCGCCAGTCGAGGCAGATGTTCTGCTGGGCACAGAGGGCTGCGTAGGCCTGCAGACTGGCGCACTCCAGGCTCGAGCCCGGCATGAAGCAGCTGTCGAACACGCAGGCATCGTAGTAGTGCTGCGGGGGCACCAGTGCGTGGCACTGGGCAAACAGGCTGTGCAGGGAGAGGCACAGGTCACACTCAGGTGGCACCTGCCTCTCCCCTGCTCTCTACCCCAGCGTCTCTGCCCGGACTGTCCTCCTGGAGTCCGGCACCCGCCAGAGAGGCGCCTGTGGCTGATGGAGGGTCAAGGGACAGGCCAGCCAGGGGGACAGCTCAGGGACAGACCAAGGGATGGCCGAGCAAGGTGGCTCTGCAGCCCGGCTCCCAGAGATAGAAACCACGTCTATGTGGTCATCAGCTTCAGGACCCCCTCCAGCAACCCTGGCAGATGGACACCCAGCCTATACCTGGCCCCTATACTTCCAGGGACAGGATGCTGACCCCCCATGACTGCCAGCGTTAGGAGCACCCCCTCTCTGTCAAAGCCCAAATCTGCCCTCCCAATATCAGCCCTGAGCTCTGTCCTGGGTTGACTGGTTTACTCCGGGCCTCACACTCGGCCAGCCCTGCACCTTCCCGGGAGCCAGGAGAGACTGGAGTTCAGCAAAGGCACAGGCCGCACGTAGCAGCTCAGCCCCGTGGAACCCAAGGGCCTGGGTCCTGGACCCCACGGCGACCTAGCGCCTGATCCTGGTTCCGCGGCTCCGTGCCTTCCCAGCCCCAGCGCCAGGCCCCACGCGCTGCCTCCTTCCTCTTTGCAAGAGCTGGGGGCTGGGGCACAGAGGCCCTCAGCTTATTGGTGTCGTGGCCACAGGCAGGCCTGGGCGGGGTCACCTGTCCTTGATGAGCTGGCAGAGGGGAGATGGGGTGCAGTCCTTGTGTGGGGTCGTTTTACCGCCCCCGGGCACAGTGACGGCCGGGCGCTTGGTCGTGGAGCTGCTGTGGGGGCAGTGTGGCTTGGAGGGGTCGTTCACCAGCCACTGGTCAGCCGCAGCCTCACAGTTGGAGACGATCTCCCCGCTGGGCAGAATGCAGTCGTCGGAGGTGGTGTTGGTGCAGGTGCCTGTATCAGTGAGAGAGGCCACGTTGCAGACAGGGTAAGCCCTGCCCTTCTCCAGCCCAGATGCCCAGGACCGGCCAGCCAGGGCCGAGGGCAGAGACCAGGCCAGGCCCCCTCCTGTTGGCTCCTCACAGAGACTGAACCCGGGTGATGGCCACAGCAGCCCCGAGCAGCGGGGCAAGAGGCCCACAGCCAGGCCCATGGGTGTTTACACGCAGCCTCAGCCTCAGCCTGGCCTGGCCACCCGCCCTGGGGCAGGACATGGGGGCACAGGGGACGGTGGGAGCCGTGGGGGCCTCGGGGGCCATGGGGGTCACGGAACTCACCACACTGGCCCTTGGTGTTGTTGCCAAACCGGTGGTAGGGCAGCCTGACGGAGAAGGACAGGCCATTGTAGGAGACGAGGACACCCAGCTCGGGGATGTCCACCACGTAGTTGATGCCAGACTGGTACACCTCCAGCCCGTACTTCTTGTAGGGCAGTGCCACCGCCTGCCTGTTCACCTGCACCTGTGGCCGACACACCATGGGAGCTGCAGCTGCCTCGGTCCTCTCCTTGTGAGAGCTCCAGGGCTGCCCCACCCCGCCTGCTCTCTGACCTACACATGTAGGGAGAGGGCCCTGCCTACCCCGCTTTCCTGCCCCCTTTCTTGCTTCCACTCCACTGCTCCCAACCAGACCCTGGTCCCATGGGTGAGCCAGTGAAGGAGCTCTCCTGGGAGCACCTGGGGACTGTGGAGCCCGGCGCAGGCTCCCGGGGCCTCCTGAGCCTCAGAACCAATGATTCCCCTGCAAGTAGGGGCATCTCAGCCAAGGGTGTGCAGAGCCCTGTCCCTGACTCTGTCCTCAGGAGGCAGCTTCTGCTGCAGAGACTGTGCCCAGCGTGGCATGGTGCCAGGGCTCGAGGGGCCCAGGACACACCTGGAGGGCCTGCAGGAAGAGCTGATATGTCCCGGAGCCAGTCGCCCACCCCATCCTACCTTCTAGCCCAGCTCTAGGAGAGGCTATGCCTTGGCACCCCCACAGCCCAGTCCTCTGGCCCCTGGGGAACCAGGGTGCATTGGGGCCCATGTCAGCACCCGCCTCCATGCCAGCCTCCTGTGGCCACGCTGTGCCTACCTGCACCTGCATGGGCATCATATGCACGGTCTTGATCAGCACCTCCTGGGTCTCGTGGCGCACGATGAGGGTGCGGGGACAGGACACCTTGTCGTTGGGATCGCAGTGGTAGTTGTCGATGTAAACTCCGAAGTTGTCCACGGAGGGGCTGATCTCCTCCACCAGCACGTAGGTGCAGTTGCCCTGGTAGCTGTAGTAGAGTCCGTCGAAGGTGACATAGTGCGGGTCGCCCCAGCCCGTGCAGTAGCCTGCAAGGGAGCCGGAGTGAGCCGTGCCACCTGTGCCCCTCGGCCGGGGTCGGGTGCAAGGGCTGGGCTGGGGCATAGTCAGGAAGAGCCAGCAGGAAGCTGGGGCCTGAAAACCCCACTCCTGTGCGTGGGCACGGGGATGTCTGAGCTGCACTTGCCCTGGCGCACCCACAGTGGCCCATTCTGCAGGACGGACCAGGGTTCAAACTTCAACTCAGCCCCCTCTTGCCTCAGAAGCACCCTTGTTCCAGGGAGGAGCCCTAACTCCACCAGGCAAGCCCTCCACCTGCCCAGGCCCTCCCCACCCAATGAGGCAAAAGCAGGGCTGTGAGAAGACCCTCAGAAGTCACCCAGCCTCAGCGAACACCTCAGTGGGATCTGTGCCCAAGGAGCCTCAGCCCTTCCGCCCCCGGGAGACGGGCCCTGCAGCCCCCACCCACGGAGAGGGCAGGAGATGCGGGGAGGGCCTGGGGGCCCCGGACTCACAGTCGCACTCCCAGTGCCAGCAGCAGCCGTCGGGGTCCTCGACGCGCACGGGTTGGAGGCCGTTGGAGCAGGTGGGCATGGGCGGCGGCTCACACTCCACCTTCACGATCTCCACCGTGTTGTTGTACTTGCACGTGGCCATGAAGCAGTCGCACAGCCACCAAGTCTCGTTCTCCTGGGGACGGGAGGCAAGGGACGTCAGGGGGACCGGCACAGGATGGGGTGGTCTGCGCTCAGGAGGGGCGGGTGCTGAGCCGGGAGGCTGGAGGCCGAAGTGGCTTCCACGGACCTCACTGCAGCCAGCCACCTCGCCAGGCACAGCGGGGCACGGTGAAAATGTGGAGGGCTCGGCAGACCCTGCACCCAAGGGTTGCTGGAGGCCTCGGCCCTCAGACGACCAGCAGGAAGTGGTGCCTGGGGCCTCAGCTGCCCGGACATGCTGCGCAGAGTGCCATGGGGACAAAGCCGCCTGCAGCCCACTGACCTGTCTGGGAGGATCAAAGTCTGGGCACTCGGGGGGCTTGGTGCCGGGCGTCGGCTTGGAGGGCGTGGACGATGGCTTGGAAGGCGTGGGCGTCGACTTGGAGGGCGTGGGTGTTGGGGAGGGCGTGGATGGGCAGGACCAGTTATAGAACTCCAACGTACAGCTCAGTGAGCAGTTGACGAAATAACAGGTGTCTCCGTATGTGCCGTTGTACACCTCCTCACCTGCGAAGGGAGACAGACCCACGATCACACCGTCCAGAGGCAGGGCTATCCGGAGGCAGGGCTAGCCGCTGGACCCCGTGGAGGTCCCCACAGCGGAGGTCCCCACAGAGGCCACCCAAGGGAAGCCGTGCCCTGGACACAGCCACCCTCGACGGCTGCTGCCTCCTGAGACGCTTCTACTGCGATCTCAGCCCTGGCACCTGACCCATTGGTACATGCCGGGGCCAGCCTCGGCCACCCAAGCACAGGATGTGAACAGCCTGAGTACCTGGTGCGTAGTAGGTGTCGTTCAGGACACAGCAGATAAGCACAGAGGAAGGGTAGGGCCTCAGGCCTGTGGTCCTGATGATGCTGGGTGTGGAGAGTGGGGTCGGCGTTGGGGTCCAGGCACTGGTGGTGGTCGTCTGCACAGTGCTGGGGGTGGGGGCTGAAGATGACCCGGTCGTGGTACCGCGAGTGGGGGTGCCTGTGAGAGCAGGAGACACCAGTGAGGGCTGAGACATTGCACATCTCAGATGCCACAGGGTCCCAACTGCCACTCCCCAGCTGCAAGGGAGCCAGACAGCCGACCGGGTGGCAGAACTGGAGGACCAGGGCCTCGTGCCCACCTCCCAGGCTCTCAGAGTCACCAGGCAGGGTGGAGCGGCAAGGCCAGTATCACCACAGCCGAGTGTCACGAGAGCCTGCAGGTGACCTGGTGCTCTGGCAGCAACACAGCTTGCTGGCCAAGCCGATGGCCAGCAAGAGGCGTCCAGAAGGCACTGGCTGTGGCACGCCGTCCACCAGGAAAAGGCCCCAAGGAGGGGCTGCAGCCAGAAGCAGGTGGACCCGCAGGCACCTCACTGGCAGCCTCTCTCTGCCCCCCAGCCTTGATGGGCTCCCACAGCACCGCATCACATAGCAGTGGGCCCCTGAAGAAGGCCGTCTTATGGGCGAGCAGGATAGCCAAGGGCTCCACTGCCCAGCACTGGCCGGTGTCAGCAGCTCCTCAGAAGGCTGTCCTATGGGCAAGCGGAATGGCCTTTGGCTTCACTGCCCAGCACTGGCCAGTGTCAGTGGCTTCTGCCCACACAGTGACCAAGCTTCGTGGGCAGAGAGGCGCCCAGAACGTGCCTTGAGCCTTCCTGGGACAGTCCTGCCCGGCACAAGGGGAGGAAGAAGCATCCCAGGCCAGAGGAACCAAGCAGCTCTGCTTACCTGGAGGGGACGTGGTGGTGCTGGGCGGTGGAGACAGTGTGTGGCCTCCGCTCGTGGTCGTGGGTGCCGTGGGTGTGGAGGGTGGGGCCGTGCTGGTCATCTCAATGGCAGGTGGTAGGGTACTCAGAAGGGTGGTTGACTCCGTGAGAGGGGAAGAGGTGGACCGAGAGGTCTGAGGGGTTGAGGACTCAGGCGGAGGATTGGATGTGGTCAACTCAGCAATGGGTGCTGTGCTTGTGTGGGTGGGGGGCCCCGTGCTTCCAGTGGTGGGTGTTGGGGTTGGGGTCACCGTAGTGGTGGTGCTGATGGGTATCATGGTTGGGGTCTGTGTGCCGGTGGGTGTTGGGGTTGCGGTCACCGTAGTTGTGGTGGTGATGGGTGTCACGGTTGTACTCTTTGTGCTGGTGGGTGTTGGGGTTGGGGTCATCGTAGTGGTGGTGGTGATGAGTACCGTGGTTGGGGTCTGTGTGCCGGTGGGTGTCGGGGTTGGGGTCACCGTGGTGGTGGTGGTGATGGGTGTCGTGGTTGGGGTCTGTGTGCCGGTGGGTGTTGGGGTTGGGGTCACCGTAGTGGTGGTGGAGATGGGTGTCGGGGTTGGGGTCTGTGTGCCGGTGGGTGTTGGGGTTGGGGTCACCGTAGTGGTGGTGGTGATGGGTGTCGATGTTGGGGTCTGTGTGCCGGTGGGTGTTGGGGTTGGGGTCACCGTAGTGGTGGTGGTGATGGCTGTTGGGGTTGGGGACTGTGTGCCGGTGGGTGTTGGGGTTGGTGTCACCGTAGTGGTGGTGGTGATGGGTGTCGTGGTTGGGGTCTGTGTGCCGGTGGGTGTTGGGGTTGGGGTCACCGTACTGGTGGTGGTGATGGCTGTTGGGGTTGGGGCCTGTGTGCCAGTGGGTGTTGGGGTTGGGGTCACCGTGGTGGTGGTGGTGATGGGTGTCGTGGTTGGGGTCTGTGTGCCGGTGGATGTTGGGGTTGGGGTCACTGTAGTGGTGGTGGTGATGGGTGTCGATGTTGGGGTCTGTGTGCCGGTGGGTGTTGGGGTTGGGGTCACCGTGGTGGTGGTGCTGATGGGTGTCGTTGTTGGGGTCTGTGTGCCGGTGGGTGTTGGGGTTGGGGTCACCGTGGTGGTGGTGGTGATGGGTGTCATGGTTGGGGTCTGTGTGCCGGTGGGTGTTGGGGTTGGGGTCACCGTAGTGGTGGTGGAGATGGGTGTCGGGGTTGGGGTCTGTGTGCTGGTGGGTGTTGGGGTTGGTGTCACCGTGGTGGTGGTGGTGATGGGTGTCAGGGTTGTACTCTGTGTGCCGGTGGGTATTGGGGTTGGGGTCACCGTGGTGGTGGTGGTGATGGGTGTCGTGGTTGGGGTCTGTGTGCCGGTGGGTGTTGGGGTTGGGGTCACCGTAGTGGTGGTGGTGATGGCTGTTGGGGTTGGGGCCTGTGTGCCAGTGGGTGTTGGGGTTGGGGTCACCGTGGTGGTGGTGGTGATGGGTGTCGTGGTTGGGGTCTGTGTGCCGGTGGGTATTGGGGTTGGGGTCACCGTAGTGGTGGTGGTGATGGGTGTCGATGTTGGGGTCTGTGTGCCGGTGGGTGTTGGGGTTGGGGTCACCGTGGTGGTGGTGCTGATGGGTGTCGTTGTTGGGGTCTGTGTGCCGGTGGGTGTTGGGGTTGGGGTCACCGTGGTGGTGGTGGTGATGGGTGTCATGGTTGGGGTCTGTGTGCCGGTGGGTGTTGGGGTTGGGGTCACCGTAGTGGTGGTGGAGATGGGTATCGGGGTTGGGGTCTGTGTGCCGGTGGGTGTTGGGGTTGGTGTCACCGTGGTGGTGGTGGTGATGGGTGTCAGGGTTGTACTCTGTGTGCCGGTGGGTATTGGGGTTGGGGTCACCGTGGTGGTGGTGGTGATGGGTGTCGTGGTTGGGGTCTGTGTGCCGGTGGGTGTTGGGGTTGGGGTCACCGTAGTGGTGGTGGTGATGGCTGTTGGGGTTGGGGCCTGTGTGCCAGTGGGTGTTGGGGTTGGGGTCACCGTGGTGGTGGTGGTGATGGGTGTCATGGTTGGGGTCTGTGTGCCGGTGGGTGTTGGGGTTGGGGTCACCGTAGTGGTGGTGGTGATGGGTGTCGATGTTGGGTTCTGTGTGCCGGTGGGTGTTGGGGTTGGGGTCACCGTGGTGGTGGTGCTGATGGGTGTCGTTGTTGGGGTCTGTGTGCCGGTGGGTGTTGGGGTTGGGGTCACCGTGGTGGTGGTGGTGATGGGTGTCATGGTTGGGGTCTGTGTGCCGGTGGGTGTTGGGGTTGGGGTCACCGTACTGGTGGTGGAGATGGGTGTCGGGGTTGGGGTCTGTGTGCCGGTGGGTGTTGGGGTTGGGGTCACCGTAGTGGTGGTGGTGATGGGTGTCGATGTTGGGGTCTGTGTGCCGGTGGGTGTTGGGGTTGGTGTCACCGTGGTGGTGGTGGTGATGGGTGTCAGGGTTGTACTCTGTGTGCCGGTGGGTGTTGGGGTTGGGGTCACCGTGGTGGTGGTGGTGATGGGTGTCGTGGTTGGGGTCTGTGTGCCGGTGGGTGTTGGGGTTGGGGTCACCGTACTGGTGGTGGTGATGGCTGCTGGGGTTGGGGCCTGTGTGCCAGTGGGTGTTGGGGTTGGGGTCACCGTGGTGGTGGTGGTGATGGGTGTCGGGGTTGGGGTCTGTGTGCCGGTGGGTGTTGGGGTTGGGGTCACCTTAGTGGTGGTGGTGATGGGTGTCGATCTTGGGGTCTGTGTGCCGGTGGGTGTTGGGGTTGGGGTCACCGTGGTGGTGGTGCTGATGGGTGTCGTTGTTGGGGTCTGTGTGCCGGTGGGTGTTGGGGTTGGGGTCACCGTGGTGGTGGTGGTGATGGGTGTCATGGTTGGGGTCTGTGTGCCGGTGGGTGTTGGGGTTGGGGTCACCGTAGTGGTGGTGGAGATGGGTGTCGGGGTTGGGGTCTGTGTGCCGGTGGGTGTTGGGGTTGGTGTCACCGTGGTGGTGGTGGTGATGGGTGTCAGGGTTGTACTCTGTGTGCCGGTGGGTGTTGGGGTTGGGGTCACCGTGGTGGTGGTGGTGATGGGTGTCGTGGTTGGGGTCTGTGTGCCGGTGGGTGTTGGGGTTGGGGTCACCGTAGTGGTGGTGGTGATGGGTGTCGATGTTGGGGTCTGTGTGCCGGTGGGTGTTGGGGTTGGGGTCACCGTGGTGGTGGTGCTGATGGGTGTCGTTGTTGGGGTCTGTGTGCCGGTGGGTGTTGGGGTTGGGGTCACCGTGGTGGTGGTGGTGATGGGTGTCATGGTTGGGGTCTGTGTGCCGGTGGGTGTTGGGGTTGGGGTCACTGTAGTGGTGGTGGAGATGGGTGTCGGGGTTGGGGTCTGTGTGCCGGTGGGTGTTGGGGTTGGGGTCACCGTAGTGATGGTGGTGATGGGTGTCGATGTTGGGGTCTGTGTGCCGGTGGGTGTTGGGGTTGGTGTCACCGTGGTGGTGGTGGTGATGGGTGTCAGGGTTGTACTCTGTGTGCCAGTGGGTGTTGGGGTTGGGGTCACCGTGGTGGTGGTGGTGATGGGTGTCGTGGTTGGGGTCTGTGTGCCGGTGGGTGTTGGGGTTGGGGTCACCGTAGTGGTGGTGGTGATGGGTGTCGATGTTGGGGTCTGTGTGCCGGTGGGTGTTGGGGTTGGGGTCACCGTGGTGGTGGTGGTGATGGGTGTCGGGGTTGGGGTCTGTGTGCCGGTGGGTGTTGGGGTTGGGGTCACCGTGGTGGTGGTGGTGATGGGTGTCGGGGTTGGGGTCTGTGTGCCGGTGGGTGTTGGGGTTGGGGTCACCGTGGTGGTGGTGGTGATGGGTGTCGATGTTGGGGTCTGTGTGCCGGTGGGTGTTGGGGTTGGGGTCACCGTGGTGGTGGTGGTGATGGGTGTCGGGGTTGGGGTCTGTGTGCCGGTGGGTGTTGGGGTTGGGGTCACCGTGGTGGTGGTGGTGATGGGTGTCGATGTTGGGGTCTGTGTGCCGGTGGGTGTTGGGGTTGGGGTCACCGTGGTGGTGGTGCTGATGGGTGTCGTGGTTGGGGTCTGTGTGCCGGTGGGTGTTGGGGTTGGGGTCACCGTGGTGGTGGTGGTGATGGGTGTCGATGTTGGGGTCTGTGTGCCGGTGGGTGTTGGGGTTGGGGTCACCGTGGTGGTGGTGCTGATGGGTGTCGTTGTTGGGGTCTGTGTGCCGGTGGGTGTTGGGGTTGGGGTCACCGTGGTGGTGGTGGTGATGGGTGTCGATGTTGGGGTCTGTGTGCCGGTGGGTGTTGGGGTTGGGGTCACCGTAGTGGTGGTGGAGATGGGTGTCGGGGTTGGGGTCTGTGTGCCGGTGGGTGTTGGGGTTGGGGTCACCGTAATGGTGGTGGTGATGGGTGTCGATGTTGGGGTCTGTGTGCCAGTGGGTGTTGGGGTTGGTGTCACCGTGGTGGTGGTGGTGATGGGTGTCAGGGTTGTACTCTGTGTGCCGGTGGGTGTCGGGGTTGGGGTCACCGTGGTGGTGGTGGTGATGGGTGTCGTGGTTGGGGTCTGTGTGCCGGTGGGTGTTGGGGTTGGGGTCACCGTAGTGGTGGTGGTGATGGCTGTTGGGGTTGGGGACTGTGTGCCGGTGGGTGTTGGGGTTGGTGTCACCGTAGTGGTGGTGGTGATGGGTGTCGTGGTTGGGGTCTGTGTGCCGGTGGGTGTTGGGGTTGGGGTCCCCGTAGTGGTGGTGGTGATGGCTGTTGGGGTTGGGGCCTGTGTGCCGGTGGGTGTTGGGGTTGGGGTCACCGTGGTGGTCGTGGTAATGGGTGTCGTGGTTGGGGTCTGTGTGCCAGTGGGTGTTGGGGTTGGGGTCACCGTAGTGGTGGTGGTGATGGGTGTCGATGTTGGGGTCTGTGTGCTGGTGGGTGTTGGGGTTGGGGTCACCGTGGTGGTGGTGGTGATGGGTGTCGGGGTTGGGGTCTGTGTGCCGGTGGGTGTTGGGGTTGGGGTCACCGTGGTGGTGGTGGTGATGGGTGTCGTGGTTGGGGTCTGTGTGCCAGTGGGTGTTGGGGTTGGGGTCACCGTAGTGGTGGTGGTGATGGATGTCGGGGTTGTACTCTTTGTGCCGGTGGGTGTTGGGGTTGGGGTCACCGTAGTGGTGGTGGTGATGGGTGTCAGGGTTGGGGTCTGTGTGCCGGTGGGTGTTGCTGTTGGGGTCACCGTAGTGGTGGTGCTGATGGGTGTCGATGTTGGGGTCTGTGTGCCAGTGGGTGTAGGGGTTGGGGTCACCGTAGTGGTGGTGGTGATGGGTGTCGATGTTGGGGTCTGTGTGCCGGTGGGTGTTGGGGTTGGGGTCACGGTGGTGGTGGTGCTGATGGGTGTCGTTGTTGGGGTCTGTATGCCGGTGGGTGTTGGGGTTGGGGTCACCGTAGTGGTGGTGGTGATGGGTGTCAGGGTTGTACTCTGTGTGCCGGTGGGTGTTGGGGTTGGGGTCACAGTAGTGGTGGTGGTGATGGGTGTCACGGTTGTACTCTTTGTGCTGGTGGGTGTTGGGGTTGGTGTCATCGTAGTGGTGGTGGTGATGAGTACCGTGGTTGGGGTCTGTGTGCCGGTGGGTGTCGGGGTTGGGGTCACCGTGGTGTTGGTGGTGATGGGTGTCGTGGTTGGGGTCTGTGTGCCGGTGGGTGTTGGGGTTGGGGTCACCGTAGTGGTGGTGGTGATGGGTGTCGATGTTGGGGTCTGTGTGCCGGTGGGTGTTGGGGTTGGGGTCACCGTGGTGGTGGTGGTGATGGGTGTCGGGGTTGGGGTCTGTGTGCCGGTGGGTGTTGGGGTTGGGGTCACCGTAGTGGTGGTGGAGATGGGTGTAGGGGTTGGGGTCTGTGTGCCGGTGGGTGTTGGGGTTGGGGTCACCATAGTGGTGGTGCTGATGGGTGTCGATGTTGGGGTCTGTGTGCCGGTGGGTGTTGGGGTTGGGGTCACCGTAGTGGTGGTGGTGATGGGTGTCAGGGTTGTACTCGGTGTGCCGGTTGGTGTTGGGGTTGGGGTCACCGTAGTGTTGGTGGTGATGGGTGTCGATGTTGGGGTCTGTGTGCCGGTGGGTGTTGGGGTTGGGGTCACCGTGGTGGTGGTGGTGATGGGTGTCGGGGTTGGGGTCTGTGTGCCGGTGGGTGTTGGGGTTGGGGTCACCGTAGTGGTGGTGGTGATGGGTGTCGTGGTTGGGGTCTGTGTGCCAGTGGGTGGTGGGGTTGGGGTCACCATAGTGGTGGTGGTGATGGATGTCGGGGTTGTACTCTTTGTGCCGGTGGGTGTTGGGGTTGGGGTCACCGTAGTGGTGGTGGTGATGGGTGTCGTGGTTGGGGTCTGTGTGCCGGTGGGTGTTGGGGTTGGGGTCACCGTAGTGGTGGTGGTGATGGGTGTCAGGGTTGGGGTCTGTGTGCCAGTGGGTGTTGGTGTTGGGGTCACCGTAGTGGTGGTGGTGATGGGTGTCGATGTTGGGGTCTGTGTGCCGGTGGGTGTAGGGGTTGGGGTCACCGTAGTGGTGGTGGTGATGGGTGTTGGGGTTAGGGTCTGTGTTCCAGTGGGTGTTGGGGTTGGGGTCACCGTGGTGGTGGTGCTGATGGGTGTCGTTGTTGGGGTCTGTGTGCCGGTGGGTGTTGGGGTTGGGGTCACCGTGGTGGTGGTGGTGATGGGTGTCGTGGTTGGGGTCTGTGTGCCGGTGGGTGTTGGGGTTGGGGTCACCGTGGTGGTGGTGGTGATGGATGTCGGTGTTGTTCTCTGTGTGCTGGTGGGTGTTGGGGTTGGGGTCACCGTAGTGGTGGTGATGGGTGTCGGGGTTGGGGTCTGTGTGCTGGTGATTGTTGGGGTTGGGGTCACCATAGTGGTGGTGGTGGTGATGGGTGTCGGGGTTGGGGTCTGTGTGCCAGTGGGGGTTGGGGTTGGGGTTACCGTATTGGTGGTGGTGATGGGTGTTGGTGTTGTACTCTGTGTGCTGGTGGGTGTTGGGGTTGGGGTCACCGTAGTGGTGGTGGTGATTGGTGTCGGAGTTGGGTTCTCTGTGGTGGTGGTTGTCATGGTGGTGGGTTGGGTGACACACTCACAGCACTGAACGTTGATCTCGTAGTTGAGGCAGAAGGCCATAGGGATGACCCCACCTGGCTTTTGGTCTTCATTTTTGCATATCAGCCCCACAGAGACATCACACACCACTGTTTGTCCAAGCTGTCCAATGGGAACATCAGGATACATGGTGGCTCTGCAAGAGATGTTAGCTGCCCAGCCTGGTCCACAGACGTCTCCAATCAATTCTGTGTCTCCACCTGGTTTGTGAAAGTTGGGTTTTCCAGAATCCAGCCAGCCAGTCCAATTGCAGAGAGGCACGCATGGGGTAGTAGGGGTTGTCGTTGAGAATGGTGAAAATGTAGGAGGAGTTATTGATGGAGGTAGAGGAGTAGTTGTTAGAGGGCTGGAAGTGGTGGTTGGTGGAAGGGTGGTCGTGGTGGTTGTTGGAGGGCTGGGAGTGGTGGTTGGTGAAGGGGTGGTCATGGTGGTTGGTGGAGGGCTGGGAGTGGTAGTTGAGGAAGGGGTGGTTGTGGTGGTTATTGGAGAGCTGGGGGTGGTGGTTGGTGAAGGGGTGGTCATGGTGGTTGTTGGAGGGCTGGGAGTGGTGGTTATTGGAGAGCTGGGAGTGGTGGTTGGTGGAGGGGTGGTTGTGGTGGTTATTGGAGGGCTGGGAGTGGTGGTTGTTGGAGGGCTGGGAGTGGTGGTTGGTGGAGGGGTGGTTGTGGTGGTTGGTGGAGGGCTGGGAGTGGTGGTTGGTGGAAGGGTGGTAGTGCTGGTTGGTGGAGTGATGGGTGTAGTCGTTGGAGGGCTGGGAGTGGTGGTTGGTGGAGGGGTGGTTGTGGTCGTTGTTGGAGGGCTGGGAGTGGTGGTTGGTGGAGGGGTGGTTGTGGTGATTGTTGGAGGACTGGGAGTGGTGGTTGTTGGAGGGCTGGGAGTGGTGGTTGGTGGAGGGGTGGTTGTGGTGGTTGGTGGAGGGCTGGGAGTGGTGGTTGGTGGAAGGGTAGTAGTGCTGGTTGGTGGAGTGATGGGCGTAGTCGTTGGAGGACTGGGAGTGGTGGTTGGTGGAGGGGTGGTTGTGGTGGTTGTTGGAGGGCTGGGAGTGGTGGTTGGTGGAAGGGTGGTAGTGCTGGCTGGTGGAGTGATGGGCGTAGTCGTTGGAGGGCTGGGAGTGGTGGTTGGTGGAGGGGTGGTTGTGGTGGTTGTTGGAGGGCTGGGAGTGGTGGTTGGAGGGCTGGGAGTGGTGGTTGGAGGGCTGGGAGTGGTGGTTGGTGGAGGGGTGGTTGTGGTGCTTATTGGAGGGCTGGGAGTGGTGGTTGGTGGAGGGGTGGTCGTGGTGGTTATTGGAGGGCTGGGGGTGGTGGTTGGTGGAGGGGTGGTTGTGGTGGTGGTTGGAGGGCTGGGGGTGGTGGTTGGTGGAAGGGTGGTCGTGCTGGTTGGTGGAGGGCTGGGAGTGGTAGTTGGAGGGCTGGGAGTGGTGATACACTTATCCATGGGCCAGCAACAATTGACACGTATCTTGTAGTCGTAACACAGTCCAAATGGTCCATTTCCAAACTGGTCTTCATTCTTGCAAATGAACCCAACAGAGACATCACACTGCACCTTCTGGCCTAGCTGCTCCAAGCTGAGGTGGGGATCCTTGACCGACCTGCACTCGATGTCCTCAGGGGCCCCGCAGACCCCATCAAATGTTTCTCGGTCACCGTCGTCGCTGCCACTGCTGGGGTGGTCCTCATTGATCCAGTCAGACCAGAGGCAGCACAGCTCTAGGGAAGCAAAACCAAGTTCTTGTCTCTCACACCTGGGGAGAGGCACCTCCAGGAAGCCACCAGGATTCAGAGGACCCAGGGACCTCCATGACCATCCCCCAGCTGCAATCTCTCTTTTCCCTGTCATTGCCAAAAAACCAGAGTGCAGGGCCAGAGAGCTCAGGGCTGGACACCACTTCCATCCTCATTTTGCAACTGAAAACCTGAGCCCAAAGAGACGGGGCCACCCAGGGCCACACCTGGGTGTGATGGACCCTTTCCTCAGCTATTTTCAATACTTTTTTTTCAAAGAATCAATAACAAGAGAGCTTCCCATTCCAGTAAGGAAGTGTGACGGAAGGGGCTTTGTCTCCACTCTTAACCAGCAATATTGTCACCGACAGCCAATCAGGTCTCACTTTAGCCCCTGGCCTCAGCAAACCATGAATGAAGTGGCCAAAATACATCCATCTTTGGTCCATAAGCAGAGGAGTCCAGCCCCGCCAGCCTCACATCTGGGCCCTGAAGGAAGCATCCTGCAGGTGATTTTATAAGACTTCGCTCCTCCCACCCTGCTTGTCATCATGAATATCATCACCGTCACTTACTCGGAGTTGTTGATAAAACTGCAATAAAGCAGGAAGAAAAGAGGATATCATTATATAGTTCAAGATCTTTTAAAATCTTGCCTTTTTTAAAAAAAGTTTCTTTTTTCTGTGGCTATCATACCCCTGGTGGCTTGTTCAGTGGTAGCTAGGATTTCAACCAGAACAAACGCAGGGGAACATAAGAAAATTTCTCTAACCCTTAGGGATAGTTTCCTGCTGGTTTTCAGAAATCTCCCCAGGTGATCCTCCACTGTGGTCTGGGCTTGGGGATGTGGTCAGGATGCTACTATCTCAATGCACCAGGCCAGGGGAGCCAGGGCAGGCCCCCTCACACCTCAGTGCAGAGGAATGCCACTGTCACCTCACTCTGCAGCTGGTGTGCAGGGGTCACAGCCTGGCTGCACCAGGCCGGGGCCTGCCCCCGAAAGAGCCCTCTGTGCTGGATGCTGGATGCAGGGGAAGGTGAGAGCCCGAGGAAGCATGGAGGGAACCAGGGGGCCTTACCTGTGCTGGAGGTCGGGGTGGTGGTGGTGGTGGTAGTGGTGAAGGTGGTGGGGGTGGTGGGGAGGGTGATGGTGGTGAAGGTGGTCAGGGTGGACGGGCGTGTCGTAATGGAACAGATGTTGAAGTGCTTCTCCACCGTCCCGTTGGGGCCACAGATCTCCCAGTAGCAGAAGGCGCCATCCTGGGTCTGGTTAAGAATCTTTCCTGGGGGTGAGGGTGAGGCCAAGAATCACCTCATCAGGAGCAAGATAGGAAGAAGGCCAGGTGTGCCCGAGCCCCCACAAGCAGCTAAGAAATGCTCCAGTGAGACTGCACCCGTCCCAGAGCCCCTCTCTTTGAATAAAGGGAATCTCATCAGAACGCAGAAGCTGGATCACGGGAGAGGGTGACGGAAATTCCCCACAGGACACCGACACCCCAGAAGAAACAAAATGGGTCACAGCAGCCCCCCAGGGCTGATACACATCGGAGGTGGGTCTGAGCTGGGGGGGGACCAAAGGGGCAGAGCCCAGGAGGAGACCAGCACCCCCCACCGATCCAAGGCCCCACAGGCTTCCCCAGGATGGGCCCGGCCACCGCAGGGCTGGCAGCAGAGGGCAGCTTACCTTCCTCCGGCCTGCAGACGACTTGGGAGGAGTTGGTACACACGCTGCAAAGCAAGCACATGGCTACAAGTCCCACTCCACTGACAACGCGCCCACGCTGCTCAGACCCCCAGCTTCCCCATGTGGCTAGTACCGAGCCCAAAGCCCCCAGGCACTGCCCCAAAGCCAGCTCCGGAAGAGCCCCCCACTGGGTTGTAACTGTGGGAACAGAGCAGGGGCGAGGAGAGGAAGGAAAAAGCCAGACCCAGAGGATGGGATGAGAACAGAAGACCCCCCGCCGCAGTGAGGGACTGGTACCTCTGTAGCCTGGCTCCTGTGTGCATGTGTGACTGTGTGACTGTGTGTGCTTGTGTGTCTGCCTCCATGCATGTGTGCATGTGTGACTGTGTCACCGTGAGTGTGTACCTGGGTGTCTGTATCTATGCATGTGTGCATGTGTGCATTATATGACTGTGTGACCTTGTGTACCTGTGTGTCTGCATCCATGCATGTGTGACTGTGCGACTGTGTAATTGTGTGTGTCTGGGTATCTGTGTCTAGGCACGTGTACATGTGTGACTGTGTGTGCCTGCGTGTCAGTGTCTGTGCATGTGAGCATGTGTTCATGTGTGACTGTGAGTGCATCTGTGCACGTGACTGTGTGTGCCTGTGTCTGTCCATGCATGTGTGCATGTGTGCACGTGTGACTTTGTGTCCATGCATGTGTGCATGTTTGACTATGTGTGTGTGCCTGCATATCTGTGTCTAGGCATGTGTACATGTGTGCAGTGTGTGCATGTGTGACTGTGTGACTGCGTGTCTGCATCCATGCATGTGTGACTGTGTAACTGTGTGTGCCTGGGTGTCTGTGTCTATGCATGTGTGCATGTGTGACTGTGTGTCCTTGCGTGTCAGTGTCCATGCATGTGAGCACATGTTCATGTGTGACTGAGTGTGAGTGCATGTGTGCACGTGACTGTGCCTATGTCTGTCCACACGTGTGTATGTGTGCACATGTGACTCTGTGTCCATGCATGTGTGACTGTGTGTGCCTGGGTATCTGTGTCTAGGCATGTGTACGTGTGCACTGTGCATGTGTGTGTGCGCCTGCGTGTCTGCATCCATGCATGTGTGCATGTGTGACTGTGTAACTGTGTGTGCCTGGGTGTCTGTCTGTGCATGTGTGCATGTGGTGTATGACTATATGACCGTGTGTGCCTGCGTGTCTGCATCCATGCATATGTGCGTGAGTGTGTAACCGTGAGTGTATGCCTGGGTATCTGCGTCTAGGCATGTGTCCATGTGTGCGCTGTGTGCATGTGTGACTGTGTGTGCCTGCATGTTGGCATCCATTCATGTGTGCATGTGTGCACCATGCATGCATGTGACCGTGTGTGTGCACGTGGTATGCTGTGTGCGTTTGTGTGCATGTGCACCCATGTGGAACGGTTGTGTGTCTGTGTACTGTGTACACTGTGTGCTCACACGTGTGTGTGTACTCATGTGCCCATATGTGCAGCTCCCCCAGGCCCCCTGCCACGTGGGCTTAGGTACCAGGACTTGCAGGTCTCCTCGGTGGGAACCGATGCTCCAGGTGGGTAGTGGGTGTCCTCGACATAGCAGCCACACTTGTCTGCAGTGACACACTTCTTCAGATCCTCCTCATAGATGGGCCTGTCCTTGGGGCACCGGGGGTAGCAGCCTGGTGGACACAGGGCATAGGGTTGGGACCACCGCAGTCCACCACACCCCACCCACCGTCCCTACCCTGGCAGGCCCTTCTCTGCAGGATGCCCCTCTGGGAAGGCCGGGGATTGGAAAGGCAGGGCCTGGATCTCCCCACCCCACTGAGCCCTGAACGCTGCCTGCTGAGGAGCCCTGCCCAGTCTCATCGGGCCCCCCGAGCAGCCCTGAGTCCCAAGACCCATGTTCCTCTCCCATGGCGGGATACTCCTCCCAAACTTCCCACCAGTCCCTCCTTCACGTCACTGGTTCTCAGCTCAGACACCAGCACCCGGCAGGGGCCTCCCCTGACCTGTGCCTGAAATGCTCCCCAACCCGCCCTGCTCTGCACGAACCTCAGCACCTCCCACCCCTGCCACTCCCAGTTTCCACGATAGCCTGCTTCCCTCCTGATCCTGCAGCAAGGGGAGCCTGGCTGCCCTGGGCTGTGGGTACCCTGAGGGTCAGGCCTCCCTCCGGGTGTCCCCATGGGTCTCCAGACATCAGCCTTCAGCCCCACAGTGCCAGGCCCGTCGGCCGTAGCCTCCCCCGAGGGCCGCCTGGCTCACCCTCCAGGCCAGTGGACTGTTGCCTCTCCCGAGGGCTGCCCCACTCAGCCTCCAGGCCCCTCGGCCATCACCCCCGCTGAAGCCCGCCCCACCCTGCTCACCCTCCAGGTAGGACACGGAGATGTTGGAGTGGATGCCGTTGATGGTCCTGCAGGTCTCGAAGCTCCGGTTCCCACATGGCTCATAGTGCCACTCACACTCATGCGGAGGGTTGTAGTAGTCGCAGAATATGGCTTGGGGGAGACAGGGCCAGGGTCAGACGCAGGAGGGCTCAGGCCTGGGCCGGGGTGAGGGCGAATCTGGGGTCGGGGGCTGGGACGCAGACGCATCAAGCTTGCTCTGCCAACCCGGGTCCCACAGGGCCCCAAAGAAGGACACTGGAGAAGTCGGGGAAAGGGTGGGTGATGCACACCCATCACCTGGATGGACAAGGAGTGTCACCCCGGCCCGCAATACAGCACCTCCCAGCCCCCGTCCCGGCCCTGAGTGCAGTTCGGGCAGGCTCTTACGGCACAGGTCCGGCGTCCTCCAGAACACGCAGGCCCCCTCTTTGGTACACTCCTGGGCGTAGGAGGCCACGGCAGAGCAGAAGCACTCACAGTCCCCACCCGTGTCACAGGAGCACGAGTCGTGCACACAGGCCTCGTAGAAGGGCTTGGGGTCCACCTGGGGAGAACACCCTGGTCTGTCCTGGGCCCGTCCTGCCCTCATGGAGCCAGGACTTCCCCAGTGCCCTGGAGCTCAGGACCCTGAGGCCGGCCCTGCTCCTGGGACAGGGCACATTACCCAGCACCAGCCAGCCAGGGCCCCGGCAGGGCCAACCTTGGGGAGAGGGTCCAGAGACACCTGTCCCGCCGTGGCTGTGCAGACCCATCACCCAACCCCTCTGCATCCTCAGCTGTAACATGGCCATCCTAGAACCCGTCCTCCCCAGCTGCCTGTAGCTGGGGATGTGTGGGCATGGGGGACACATGTCCTTTCTCCCTCCGGGTGAATATCTGAGCCTGGGGAGGCAGAGGGAGGCCGGGGGTCCAGCCCAGGGTCTCAGAGGGGAGGCCGATTATACGGTCATGTGACCAAAGGAGGCAGCGGCCAGAGCCAAAGCTGGAGGACAAGCGCCGTGTGGTGCGTGACGCAGCAGGGCGACTCCTGAAGGTGTGGGGAGCATGTGGAGAAGCCCCCCAGCCCCAGGAGCACCCAAGACCCTACCCTGCTATGACCACGCCCTGGTCATTAGCATGCTCTACGGCACCCTCACCACGCCCACAGTCAGCCCATAGCCCTGCTCTGCCTACAGTCGGCCCCGCCCATGGCCCCGCCCACAGCTATAGTCCACCTACAGCCCTGCTCTGCTTAGTCGGCCCCGCCCATGGCCCCGCCCACAGCTATAGCCCACCTACAGCCCTGCTCTGCCTAGTTAGCCCCGCCATGCCCCGCCCACAGCTATAGTCCACCTACAGCCCTGCTCTGCTTAGTCGGCCCCGCCCATGGCCCCGCCCACAGCTATAGCCCACCTACAGCCCTGCTCTGCTTAGTCGGCCCCGCCCATGGCCCCAGCCCACAGTCACAGCCCACCTACAGCCCTCCTCTGCCTACTTGCCCCACCATGGCCCGGCCAGCCCACCTTGCTGTGGCAGATGCTGAACACGCTGCTTTTGAGGATGCTGCACTGCTTCTCGGCCCAGGAGCGGCGGTGCGGGTTCAGGCTGCAGGGCTCGGGGTTGGTGCTCACATCTGGGCAGGTGGGGGCCTCCTTCCAGCTGTTCCCGAAGTCCAGCTCGCTGCTCACCACCATGTGGTCCCGCGTGGTGAAGTCGTTGTTGGAGCGGTGGTCAAAGTTCCCACACAGGCCACACACGGTGCCCTGCAAGAGACAAGCATCACAGGGGCTCCAAAAAGGGGCTGGAGGGAGGACAGGGGCTTGTCCTGCAAACACCAGGGCAGGGGGTGGGGGGCTGGCCAGGAGGGGGCAGGGCAGGCAGGGAGGCAGCCCACCTTGTAGGAGGGAGCCAGCTTGATGAACACGGTGGTCCTCTTGTCCCAGATGACGATGATGCCCGTGCTGGACTCCACCACCAGGTACTGGCCCACCTCCCGCGTGGTGTAGGCCACGTGGTGACCCTCATCACGCTGGATCACCACACGGTGCTTGTCTTCCAACTTCAGCTCCGTCCTCTGCCCGGAGGAGAGGCCCAGTCACTGGCTGGTCTGAGGGTCCCGCAGGGCTCACGCGTCCCCAGGGCCAGCAGCACTCACCCCCATGAAGATCTTGATGGCCTTGGAGCAGGTGACGCCCGTAGTGCCACAGGGGACGTTCTCGGTGATGATGCTGAATGAGCCCAGTGAGGAGTTCTGGCCGCAGTAGTCCTGGGGGCCAGGAGGGCAAGGTCAGCCAGGACAGCTGGACCCCAGGTGTCCCGGGGCACACCCGCCCCAGTTGGCAGGGTCACAGCCACTGAGCAGACAAACCAGGCCCTGGCCTGGCCCATCCAAGGACCTGACCCTGCTGCAGGCCTGTCCCCTGTCCCTGGGGATCACGGTGCCTCAAAGGGCTGTGGGATTTGGATCTGGAGAGCCGCGCGGGCAGCGGCCTAGCCCTGGCCTTTACTCAGCTCCCCAAACAGGTGCCCTCAGTCCCCATGGCTGGTGCACCCACCTTGTGCACCCAGAGAAGGACCCAGAGGAGGACCCAAATGAGGACCACAGAGGAGGACCTAGAGGAGGACCCAGAGGAGGGAGGACCCAGAGGAGGGAGGACCCAGAGGAGGACTCAGAGGAGGACCCAGAGGAGGGAGGACCCAGAGGAGGACTCAGAGGAGGACCCAGAGGAGGACCCAGAGGAGGGAGGACCCAGAGGAGGACCTGGAGGAGGACCCAGAGGAGGGAGGACCCAGAGGAGGGAGGACCCAGAGGAGGGAGGATCCAGAGGAGGGAGGATCCAGAGGAGGGAGGACCCAGAGGAGGACCCAGAGGAGAACCACAGAGGAGGACCCACAGGAGAACCCAGAGGAGGACCCAGAGGAGAACCACAGAACTGGGCAGTACAGAGGGGTTTTACCACCCCTACCCAGCCCTGGCTAGAAGAACGAATCCTCCTGCGGGTGCAGGTGCGGGTCTGGGGCTGAGGAAAGGCCGGCCTTCCCAAGTCTCAGGGTTTCTCGGGGAGCTAAGCACTGCACTTGGGGCAGGCAGAGGGTCCCTGACCATAAGCAGCCCGACCAGGCAGTGCCCGTGACCACACCTGAACAGCCACGTAGGAGCAGTGTCCGTCAAAGTCGTAGTACTTCCCATCAAAGGTGATGTAGTGGCCACTCCCGTAAATGGAGCAGGTGCCATGGCACACAGCCTGGGTGCACACCCAGCGTCCTCTCTTGCAGGTGCTGAGGAGGACAGGAGAGGAGCCTGAAGGGACCCAGGACCTGCTCATGGGTGGCTGGAGGAGACCCTGGGCACCGTGCAGACAGCTCCCTGTGCCTCCCACACAGGACACCTGCAGGCCCCAAAAGTGGCTCCAAATGTCCCTTCTCCCATGGCTTCAAGACCAGCAGTTGACATGAGAGACCACCCTGCCCGTGGGACAGGGGCCACCACAGGATCTCGCAAGACCCAGGCGGAACCCCCAGGAGAGGCACTTGCCCCTTGGACCGCTCTCCAGTGGCCACCCCTGCGGAGCACGTGGGGCCTGGGAGGCAGCCAGGACAGGCCGGGCCAGCTTACCAGGTATTGCAGTCCACCTTGATCTTGGCGCCGGAAGAATACAGGTCGTTGTTATGGACGCAAGGGCATTCCTTCTCCACCACGCAGCCACCCCGGCCGTCATCCATCAGCCCGTCGGGGCACACACAGCCACTGACACACTCTGTGTGGTACTGGGGACAGCCAGAGAGTGGGGTTCAGGGGTGGACAGGTGAGGCTGCAGCCCTCCCTGGGGTCAGGATTGGATGTGCAACCAGGAAAGGCCTGACCGTGCAGTCTCTGTCATGTCCCAGACCTCCCACCACTCCCCCTGGCCTGGGCTCAGGCTTCCCTCCCCTTGGGCCCGCCACAGGGCAGTGAGACTGGTGAGGGCTGCCGGCCAAGGGCCCTACACTGGCCCCTGTGCCCCGGTGGCTCACAGGCTGCCACTTCCCTCCCAGGGCCAGGGACAGCATCAACAGGGCCTGCGTCCTCAGGACTCGGCACCCAGACCCTAGCGGGGGCACAGCACAAGAGCCAGGCTCAGCCAGCCAGGAATCCCTGCCCGCCCACAGCAGCGCCCCCAACACGCACATAGCCGGCGGCCAGCGTCTGGCAGCTGAGGGCTCGGGGCTTCGAGGTGGCCAGTGCAGTCAGGTTGCTGCAGTCCATGTGGATCTTTGGGGCCGTGCAGCCTGTGGGACGGAGGGGCCACCTCAGCTCCAGCTGAAGCTGGGGGTCTCAGGCAGGCCCGGGAGGGGTGGCCGGGGAGGGTGGCCAGGGCAGGCAGGGAGGGGTGGCTGGGGAGGGGTGGCCGGGGCAGTGCCACTTACTCTGGCCGATCAGCCGGATCTGCCTACAGTGCAGCCGCCCATCCCGGCACACACTGTGGAAAAGGCCAGGGATGAGCGGGGCCCATGCAGGACGGCCACAGACAGCCCGCAGCTTCCCCGCAGATGTGAGCCTGATGCCTCTCAGCGCCCCCCACCCCAGGCACCCCTCAGCCTTGGGTGTCTCAGCTTCCCCAGGTAGAGACTCCCAGGTCTCCGCTTGGGGCAGGTTCAGAAGGAGCTCCCCCGCCCCCACGCCACACCTGACCCCCGAGCAGGTACCCACCATCGTTCTTCCTGCCTGACGACCACATCCCCCGCCTCCAGGTAGAGACCGCGGTGGTAACAGGAGCACTTGGCCAGGGGTACGCAGCGGCCCTTCTCGTCCAGGAAGGTGTGGTCAGGGCAGCCGCAGCCGTCCACAGGCGCAAAGCCCTCGAGACAGTGGCTGTCGGCCTCGGAGAGGGAGCGGCAGGTCTGCTGGCAGGTGGTCAGGTTGTACAGGAAGACCTGCGAGTTGGGGCAGGAGCCCACATCCTTGTCTGCAGAGGACCACGGGGTGGTGTGAGGGACGGGAAGAGCCAGACGCCCAGCTCCCATCCCCAGGGTGGCCAGGGGGCCAGGGAGTGCACACTCTGGGACCCACTCCCACACTCGGCCGCCACAGCTCCAGGCCCACCCCAGGTTCTGCCCCTGCTACGTGGCCGCCCCTTGCTATAGGAGTTGCTGGTTTCCTGCTACCACCGGCTGACGAAGCTGGAGCCTGGTCCGTGGCTGCAGGGGGCCGACCCCTCTCCCTGGACCACCCGTGCTCAGGGCCCCCAGCCCCGTCCCAGGAGCTCAAAGCCCGGACCCCATCCCCAGGATGCAGCCCACGGGGACGGCACTCACTGCAGACATGCTCCCGCCAGCCCCACAGCATGACGCCCTTGGCGGTGCAGGCGCGCGCGTAGGAGGACAGGGCGGCGCACAGGCAGTCCTCATTGTTCTGACAGTTACACGTGTCATATTTGCACCTCTGGGCGACAGAGCAAGGTGGACGGGCAGTGAGGCAGGGAGGCAGAGTGTGGCCCGGCGCTCACAGATGCAAGCTCACACGCACACACAGCAACCAGTGGGCCCAACCGGGTGCTCTGAGTCCACCTCACGGGTGGCATGGGGGGCTGGGGGTGCCCTGAGTCCACCTCGATGGCATGGGGGCCTGGGGGTGTGGGTCCCACCCACCTTGTAATACTCAGCAGGGTCCACAGCCGAGTGGCACCTGCCAAAGGGGGTCTCTGTCTTCTTCAGGAGGGAGCACCAGTGCTCGGCGTAGTTGGCTGGGGAGTGGGGGATCGGAACTTCAGCGGGGCCCGGGACCCCCGTGAGATCCCCTGGGCCCTGCTGCCTGGCTGCCTAGGCCCCAGATATGGTTCCCTCTGTGCACCGATGCCCAGGCCCCTTCCTCCCCGTGAGTCAAATTTCCAGGCAGCTCCTGGCTAGATAGAAACCCCTGCAGGGCACCCACCACCTCCCGTCTCTCACCCCCAAGGGCCCAGCATCCTGGACATGACGGGGCAGGTAGGGACCAGCCCAGGCCCTCTTCCAGGTCACCTGGCAGGCTGCCACCATGGCCGCCATAAACTAGCCACAGCAGGAAGCAGCAGGGGCCGGGCTGCCCCTGGAGGAGAGCCACCTCACTTCTGCCCCTCACCACCCATGCTTCCTGCTGGGAGCCCCGTCTGCCCTTCCAGGCCATGGGCCGGGTACCCTAGGCACGCTAGGTGGGGGCGCCCGTGTTGCCGAGCCTCACCGCTCTCGATGTTCAGGGAGCAGGGATCGTCCAACCAGTCCAGCTTGTCATGGCAGCTTGACTGTGCCTTCCAGGTGTTGGCAAAGCCGGCCCCCGTGGCCTCCACCAGCCCGCTGGCCGTCTTGAAGTCGTCACCTTCCAGGCCGTTGAAGTTCCCGCAGAGGCCTGAGGGGCCAGGACAGGGTTGGGAAGAGTCTGGGGCTAGCAGGCCCCCCTGTGGGCCTTTGTTGGGGCAACCCCGGTGGGGCCACTTACCCTGCACCTGCCCCTGGGAGGCCTGGTCCAGTGTCACAAAGAGTTGCATGACTGGGGCCAGCTGCACCTGCAGCCGGACGCCAATGGCCATGCTCACCATGATGTGGTAGGAAGACGGGCGGAAGACAGAGAAGCTCGCTGTGGGCAGGGGCACGATGAGGGACACAGTAAGGGGCATGGCGAGGGGCGGGGCTCCCGGGACCTGCCTGGCCCAGGTGAGCAGCGGGAGGGTGTCACCCTCCCACCACCCCCTCCAGCAGAGGACCCAGGACGGAGCCTGCTGGGTGCCGCAGGGACCCTCCCCCCGTGGAACCTTCCCACCCAGCCTCCTGGGTCCGAGGTGGCTGGACTGTCCGAATCACTGCAGGCCCAGTGGAGCTCGAAGGGCCCGGGCCCCTCCCTGGGGCACAACTCACCGGTCACGTGGGGCAGGTTCACCTGCAGCTCGTTGAGCAGTACACTGCCATCGGACTTGAAGACCACCACCTGCAGGGAAGGCCGAGGTTGCTCAGGGCTGAGAAGGGCCCCCCTCGGGGGACCTGGGGCTCCAGAAGGAGGGGGCAGGACCACTCACATTCTTCTTCTTGTCAGCCAGCAGCACCACCGTCTTCAGGCAGGTCTGCTTGTCTGTGGAGCCACAGGGGGCCAGCTCGCCCAGGAGAGCGTAGGAATCGTTGTGGTCACCCTGTGATGGGGCAAGAGGCAGTGCAGCTGCTGAGGGCCGGGACGGGCAGCACCCTGCACCCTAGGACCCGGCAGTGGCTTAGAAAGGAAGGCCTGCTTCTTATTCTCCAGCCAGAGAGCAGAAGCATGGTCACCTGCCCCAGGACAGCCCACAGGCACCCTCTGCTTCAGGGACAGCCAGCCCACCCACCCCGGGACAGCCAAGGGCCTGGATGCCAGCCCCAGCTCTGCCCCATGCCCCAGACCCTGGGCAGCCTACCTTGGCCAGGACATAGTAGCAGTCCCCGTGGAAGGTGTACGTCTTCCCATCGAAGGTGGTGATGTGGGAGCCGCCTTCCAGGGCACAGGTGCCGGGGCAGGGCAGGTCTTTGCACACCCAGCGGCCAGCGTTACAGACACTGTTGGGCAGCGGGGCACAGGGTCAGGGCTCAGCCGCCCCAGCCTCTGCTGTGCCCAGCCCTGGCCCCGGGACTCACCACTGCTCGCAGTCATTGGTGATCTCCTGGCCCGGTGTGTACAGGTGTCCGTGCAGCCTGCAGTGGCACTGGCTCACAGGAACGCAGCCACTGTCCCCGATGTCGTCATATACGGTGCCTGGGACAGCCAGGGAGGCGATGTCACCCCGGCTGGCTCAGAAAGAGCCAGAATCCCCACCGAGGGGCTGCCAGCCAGGCCTCCCACCCGCAGGCACCACTGGTCCCCTGTGCTGACGCCTGCGGTCCCCACCTGGTCCCTGGGTTGGGGTCTGGCCATGGGGGTCCAGCCTCCAGGCCACCTTCCTGCCCCTGACAATCGAGCTGCTCCCAAAGGCCTCAGGCACCAGGCCAGGGGCCGGGCAGGAGGAGGTCTGTCCCCAGGGTGATAACCAGGAAGGCAGCCCCCTTCCCGGCCTCCCTGAAGCCACCCTTTGGGAAGGGCCTCACACCGAGGCCCCTTCTCCCCCGGTATCGGGTGGAGGGAGAGGCACTTCTGTGCCGCCGCTGCCCCCACCACCCAGCGGAGCCGTCCCCTCAGCGCAGGCGAGAACCCCAGGCCAGGGCTGCCTCTCATCTGGTGGGCAGTGCCGGGGCGGGGCCATCCTCCACACGCACCTTCTGGGCAGAAACAGCCGTCCATGCGGTGCTCCTCGCACAGGCTGCTCACCTCCAGGTGTGAGCAGGTGTCCATGCAGGGCGAGCCGCTCTCCAGGTACACCAGGTTCCCGGGGCAGGTCTTGGCTGGAACCGCAGAGGCCACGCAGTGAGGGTGAGGCTGGGGCACAGCAGCCGCTCCACCCCGAAGTGCACCGAGAAGGGCTCTCAGCCCACGGTGAGTGTCCCCCCAGCTCCCGGTGCCCGGCGTGGTGAGTGTCCCCCCAGCTCCCGGTGCCCTCAGTGAGTGTCCCCCCAGCTCCCAGTGCCCGGCGCGGTGAGTGTCCCCCCAGCTCCCGGTGCCCTCAGTGAGTGTCCCCCCAGCTCCCAGTGCCCGGCGCGGTGAGTGTCCCCCCAGCTCCCGGTGCCCTCAGTGAGTGTCCCCCCAGCTCCCGGTGCCCGTGGTGAGTGTCCCCCCAGCTCCCGGTGCCCGTGGTGAGTGTCCCCCCAGCTCCCGGTGCCCGTGGTGAGTGTCCCCCCAGCTCCCGGTGCCCGTGGTGAGTGTCCCCCCAGCTCCCGGTGCCCGTCACAGTGAGTGTCCCCCCAGCTCCCGGTGCCCTCAGTGAGTGTCCCCCCAGCTCCCGGTGCCCGGCACGGTGAGTGTCCCCCCAGCTCAAGGTGCCCGGCACGGTGAGTGTCCCCCCAGCTCCCGGTGCCCGGCACGGTGAGTGTTCCCCCAGCTCAAGGTGCCCGGTGCGGTGAGTGTCCCCCCAGCTCCCGGTGCCCGTGGTGAGTGTCCCCCCAGCTCCCGGTGCCCGTGGTGAGTGTCCCCCCAGCTCCCGGTGCCCGTCACGGTGAGTGTCCCCCCAGCTCCCGGTGCCCTCAGTGAGTGTCCCCCCAGCTCCCAGTGCCCAGCACGGTGAGTGTCCCCCCAGCTCAAGGTGCCCGGCACGGTGAGTGTCCCCCCAGCTCCCGGTGCCCGGCACGGTGAGTGTTCCCCCAGCTCAAGGTGCCCGGTGCGGTGAGTGTCCCCCCAGCTCAAGGTGCCCGGCGCAGACACAGCTCCCACCCGGGCTTGGGGAAAGCACCAGCGTGGGGTCTCCCTGGGGTCCCCTGCCCACAAGGCGCCGGGGCTTACGGCAGAGCGTGGCGGTCCTCCAGTTCCCGGGCCGGCCGCCGGCGTGGGAGCACTGGCGGGAGAACTCGGCCACGGTGCTGCAGACGCAGGTGTCACCGCCCGGGCACCGGCAGCGGTCCTGCTGGCAGGCGCGCAGATACGGCTCCAGCGGCACCAGGTCCTGACAGTCCGCGAAGGCCTCGGCGGTCAGCAGCCTCTCACACTCGGCGCGCTGGGGACAGACGCAGGGTGAGCATGCTATTCAGAGGCCAGCTCCGCCAGGACCCCCACCCCAGACCGAGGGGACTCACGTGCTCGGAGCAGGATGCGGGGGCCACCTCCTCCTCGGGATCCTCACACACCACATCGGGCTGGTTGATCTTCTGCATGTTCCCAAACTCCAGGGGACTGAAGAGCACGCCTGGGGATGCACGGCCCTTCAGCTAGGGCTCCTGGGGGCCCGTAGCCTACCCTGCCCCCTCCAAGCCCTCCGGGCCTCACCGTCAGAGAGGAATTCTGAATAGCTCTGCAGGCCGTTGTAGTCCCCGCAGAGGCCACAGGTGTGGTTCCGGAACTTAGTGTCCAGCTCCAGCTGTTGCGGGAGGGAGCAGGTGAGCTGGCCTCCCGCCCGGCCCACAGCCGCCAGGAACCCCCAAGACTCGTGGCTTGTTTGAGCCAGAGGAAGGTGGGGCAGGAAGGCTGGGGTCAGCAGCCAGGGAGCGGCCTGGCAGGGCAGGTCCCTGAGAAGCCGAGTGCGTTTGGGGGAAGGCTGAGGCCTGGGGGGGTCAGGGCCAGGTCGGCTTCTGCTGCTGCCCCCCAAGTCCAGCACCGACGCCCCGCGCTGCCGAGGCCCTGCCCCACCCATGCCCTCTCGGTGAGGGGTCAGAGCACTGCCCTCCCTGCCCTCCCTTGGGGTCTGCCCAGAGGCCTGACGGAGCCCCCACCAGCCCCACGAGTCCGGGGACCCCTGAGCACCATGAGTGCATCCTCCCGGTTCCACATGAGGGTGAGGCCGGCGCGGGAGTAGACTTTGGTGTAGGCATCGCTCTTCTCAATGAGCAGCCCGGGGCTGTAGTGCGGGGTGCTGACCCTGGCGGAGGCACATCGGGGTCACTCTTGGGTCCACCACCCAGGCCCCCCCGCCCCAGCTTGTCCTCCCGGGACCCCGCCGCCCAGAGGGGACTGAAGCTGGGCGCCTGGGGTGGTGGAGATGGCTCTGCCAGGCCCAGCTCCTGCCCTGGGGTCACCAACTTGGCCGGCCTCTGGGGTGGAGGGACATAGGCAGTGGCCAAAGAGCACCTGTCCATCTCCGCTGGCCGGGCTTCCCCGGCAGAGCCACCTCCTGCCTGCACGCCCCTCCTCTCCACTCCCTCCTCGGGGCACGGTCCTGGGCAGGGTCCCCCCTCAGAGGCCCTGAGGGCACCAGGTTGGGAGAGGAGGGAGGACCAGGCTGCCCAGCCCCCTTCCAGGCCCCCTGCTTGGTGGAACATCCCCCCATGGGGTCCCAAACCCCCCAGAGCCCCCCAGGCTGCCCCTGAGACTGTCAGGGGCCCTACCCCACCTCCTGCCAGTGCCCCTTGCTGGTCCAGGTAGAGGCACTCACCCCAGCCTCTGTGCCTCGGTCCTCAAGGGCCTCTACCTGCCTGCCCATGCCTGAAAGCCTCTACCCACCCACCTGCCAACACCCATGCCTGAGGGCCCCTACCCACCCACCCGCCTGCGCCCATGCCTGAGGGCCTCTACCCACCCACCTGTGCCATGCCTGAGGGCCTCTACCCACCCACCCACCTGCGCCCACACCTGAGGACCTCTACCCACCCGCCCGCACCTACGCCTGACGGCCTCTATCCACCCACCCGCGCCCACGCCTGAGGGCCTCTACCCACCCACCCGCCCGCACCCATGCCTGAGGGCCTCTACCCACCCACCCGCGCCCACACCTGACGGCCTCTACCCACCCACCTGCCCATGCCCACACCTGAGGACCTCTACCCACCCGCCTGCACCCATGCCTGACGGCTTCTATCCACCCACCCGCCCGCACTCACGCCTGAGGGCCTCTACCCACCCACCCGCCCGCGCCCATGCCTGAGGGCCTCTACCCACCCACCCACGCCCACACCTGATGGCCTCTACCCACCCGCCCGCCCATGCCCATGCCTGAGGGCCTCTACCCACCTGCCTGCACCCACGCCTGAGGGCCTCTACCCACCCGCCTGCCCATGCCCATGCCTGAGGGCCTCCACCCGCCTGCCCATGCCCATGCTGGGGCCCCTTGCAGGAAACTAAATCCCCAGGCAGAAGAGGGGCAGGCGCTGGATGGGAACGCACTTACAGGGCCTCATTGTTCTGGAGACAATAGGGGAGCAATAGCTGGGGATGGGGAAGGGGGTCCCACAGCCCCCTGCACCGGCTTCTGTAACTCTAGCCTGGGGAGGGCACACACGGCCACTCCATGCACAGGACCAGAGACATGCAGCCTCCAGGGGTGCCAAGTCTGTCCGGAGCCTGGTGGGCTCCGAGGGGAGGGGCTGTCAGGGACACACAGGCAAAGGGATAACTGAAACCCCTTGCCTATGGGGGGAATGGTGGGGGCTCATCAGTGTTTGTTGAATGAATTAGTGACCTGAACCCAAACCTCAAGGCTGTTCTCCTGAGCTGTGTGCTGGGGCGGAAGGGGTCTTCTAGGGCTACAAGGAATATCCCTTTGGGAAACATCAGCCCCCGTTGCTAGGATGTGGGAGGGGTGCCACCGACCACACTCACACGGCCCCGTTAAGCACAGCCAGGTGGCGGGTGAGGTAGATGGTGTCATCCTTGATGGTCAGCAGGATGGACTCCACCCCGGCGGGGGCCTCAGCCTGGCCCGGACCCCGCTTCAGGTGCACAGCAAATTCCTTGTAGGAGCCTCGGCAGTCGGAGGCGAAGTTGTAGTCGCAGAGGCCGGGGAAGCGGAAGACGTCCCCGTCGAAGGTCTTGTAGTGGAAGTTGCCCCAGGTGCTGCAGACGTTGTGGCCGTGGTTTCGGGTTCTGCCCTCTGAGGGAGCAGCGGGGAATGAGGGGTGAGTGGCCCCGGAGGGGGAAGGCTGCCCAAGCTACCCTCGAGAGAAGGCCCCTGAAGAAGCACCTGGAAGCAGCTTCGAGCCCAGCACAGGGCCCCTGGCCGGGAAAGGTTCCTTCCTATCCTCGGGCCCTCTGCTGGGCCTTGGTCACCCCACCACAGGGGTCTCAGGGCTTCTACCCCCGGCCTGGTGAGGAGTGCGGCCGGGTGCCAAGCGGGATGTAGGAGAGGGCATTCTGGGCACCCCGCTCCCCAGCAAGGGCTGTGCTGCCCCAACTCTTCAAGGGTCTCTGCCACCTGAGAATGGGGCCTTCTGGTGGGATCCTGGCCACCCCTTCCTCCCCTATGGACAATGACCCAGTTCACTGGGGCCTGACCTGCTGTTTCCACCTGGTGCTGGCCCCAAGACCCACACTGTCGTCGGGCAGTCAACCCCAAAGGAATAGCAGGGGAGCCCCGACCTTCCAGCTCCTTGAAAGTCAGCAGGGCCGGGGGCTTCCAGGGACCAACCCGGGCCAGGAGCCTCAGCAGAGCCGCGCAGGCTGCACTCTGGGACCAGCTCCTCCTCCCAGACGCGACTTGCCCGCCCGCCTCGCCCTGCCCCCAGGACACTCTGCCAGGCCCCAGACCCCTGTGTCTGCTCTCTCACCTGTCTGGAGCTCCGAGCCCCCTGCCAAAGACAGGGCCAGGCACACAGCCGCCAGGCGGGCTAGTGGCAGCCCCATGGTGGCTGGCAGGGGCGGTGTGGGTTGCGCCCGGGGGCAGGGGTCTGGTCCTTATATGTCCTGGCAGGAGGGTAGGAGGGCAGGAAGGCAGGGGAGGGCCAAGGGTGGGTGTGGCATCTGCCAGATGATCAAGAAGACAGCTGCGGGGGCCCGAGCCCCAATGGGGAAATATTGATTCAGGTTATCGGAGGTCATCTCTTTATGGCTCCCTGGGTAAACGCAGCCTTCTTCAGGATGAGGCAGCCCTGTAGCCTGAATGCCAACACACACCCGGGGAACACATGCAGCTACTAGAGGGGCGAGCCCAGGGTGGCCGGGGGAGGGGTGTCCTGCCAGAAGCAAGTCTGGTCAGGCTCCTTAGCCCGCCATGGGCCCCCAGACACCCGCTGAGCAGGTCCCCAGGCCTGATCAGGCTCACGTTACGCTGGGAGGACCAACCCATTCCTGGGGCCCAAGCTCTGGGGCAGCTTCCAGGCCTGACCCCAGAAAGGGGCCTCCCCGAGGGCAGGGAGGATGTGGGATCCTTCAGGGTCCGGGGGGGCCACTGACTTGTGTGGGACTCTTGGCCGGGCTCATGGAGCTGTGTCAGAGGCCCCAGCCCCCAACCACCCCCTATGCCCATCCTTTTCCCAGGCTGAGCCCTTCTCTGCAGTTACATGTAATTAGAACTTGGGGAGTACATGCCCAGCCAGGGGACATGTTACGGAATCAGGCACACAGGGAGCTGGCTGGTGGCCGGAAGTGGCCGTCTGCCCCTTCTCCTGGGGACCACATGAGGACCTCGGGCCTGACAGCTGAGGAGGTGACAGCCTGCCCAGGCTCCCCAGAACTACCTCTGACTCATGGTGGGGATCCTGCCCCCAAGGCTGTGCCTTTGATGAGCCTTGGTCTCGCCCACCAATCCCAGCAGTTGTCTGGAAAAAAGCCTGGAGAACCGGAACTCACACCGACCCCAGACTACGAGACCACTGGGCCCACCACTGCTTGCCCCGGCCCGGGAGGGCACAGGCAGGCACCCCTGTGTCGCCAGTGGGTAAACTGAGGTCTGGGGGCCCTCCCCTCTCTCTACAATTTTCTCCTCCTGAAAATAGAGAGGGGCCCTGAGTTGAGTTCCTGGCTTTGGCCTGAACATGCCAGGGACATGCCGGCAGCATGATGGCAGTGGGGAGGGACTCACCCCAACAGTTATAGAGACTCGGGGCCCAAAGCACCAAGCCTGTTTCCCTGGCTGACCTGCTGCCCAGACCCAGGGCCTGGGACGAAGCCCCTCCCGCCCTCCTGCGGTGCCCGCCAGCACCAGGCCCCAGGGTCTGCGCTCCCTGCCAGGACCTGGGCACGTGGAGGAAGCTCAGTGTGTGGCCCCTGCCAGGAGGACCGGGGATTAGGAAACCAGAGCCAGCTGGGCGAGGCCAGAGGAGATCATTGTTCACTTCCTGGTGTGGGCCTCCGCACACTGGCACTGAGCCCTGGGGAAACCCAAGGACGGCCCCAACTGCAGTCCCCTGACCCTGACATGCCCCAGGCGGGCCTCAGGACAGAGATTTTCCAGGCCAGGCTCCCCCTGCCCTGGGGGGATTGGAGGAATCCTAGCGGAGCACAAGCTGCCCAGCACAGCCCCTCCAGCCCTGAAGCCTGAGGTAGGTCCCCTAGATCTGACCCTGTGTCCCCTCTGGACGGGCAGTGGTGGTTCCCAGGCTCAGGGGTCTGACCCCAACACCCCTCTTGGCCCATGGCAAGGTCCCAGGTAGGAGCCCTGTCTGAGGTTACAGGCAGCCCTGCATGGGGCAGGGTGCAGAGAGCTGAACCCCATTCCTAACGGGGAAAGGGAGCTGTTCTGGGGAAGAGGACAGTGAGGGCTCCATCAGGCCGGGGCGACTATGGAGTCACTGGCACCCCCAAAGCGAGAGTGTCCCCAGCCTCTTTGCCTCCAAGCCTCAGCCGGTCCCCACTGCCAGATTCGCAGCATCTACTGTGGTGGTGGAGGCGATGGGGGCCAGGCAGTTCCACAGCACTGCATCCCCTCTCTCCCCACGTCCTGTGTTGGTCCAAATGTGGCCCCCATTGCTGGTTACTGAAATGTCGGCCTCCAGCAAGTGCAGAGTGGGAGAGTGGGCAGCCGTATTGCCCTGGGACCCCATCGCCACTCTGTGGCTTTCCCATGGGGTTCGAGGGACCCTGGTGGAGGGAGAGAGTGGGGGCTTTGACCACTCCGAGGAAAATGCTTGTCGGTTCTGCTTTCTGTGACAAGAACATGATGGCAGTGGTGGGAATGACCACCCACCCAACGGCGGGCCGGACACAGTTGAGCCAGGAGCCCACATCCCCAGCCCCATGTCAGGCTGCCCCAGCCTCAGGCCCCGGCTGGGACTCAGAACGAGGCTGCATGGAGTACAGCCTCCCACACAGACAGCATCCTGGAGTACAGCCTCCCACACAGACAGCATCCTGGAGTACAGCTTCCCACACAGACAGCATCCTGGCCCCCCCAGCCTCTCCCCACCCTGCCCACGCCCAACATGTTTACCGTGACAAGACACTGTTGCCAACGGCTGCATGGAATTTGCAGTAGTGACTGCAGGGAGGAGGCAGCACTGACGTCACATGGCACCTGAAGTGACGGCCCCCCTACTGTGTATCCACAAACCTGACTCACCAGGAAGCCCGGGTGAGGGGCATGTGGGGGTCAGAGCCACCGGAGGAAGAGGGAGAGGGAAAGGAGGAGGAGGAAGGGGAAGGGGAAGAGGAGGCTGGGGAGGGGGCGAGAAGAGAGAACCCCTATGCTGCTGGGGGAGCCAAAGACAGCAGGTGCGTCCCCTGCACACGTCCCGGTCGCTCGAACGGTGGCTTTGTGAGTCGGCCTGTCTGGCCATGGCTCCAGTCTTTGGCATGGCGCCGGGCTGGATGCTGCTGTGAAGGGACTTCTTAAATGTGACCCTGGCGAAGCAGGTGGGTCTGACACAATCAGTGCAGGGCCTTGAAAGAAAAGACCTTGGTCCTCCAAGGAGCAGGACGTGCTGCCTCCAGGACGTGCTGCCTCCTGATGGCCTCCGGGGGTCTCCAGCCTGAGGCCCACCCTAGGCTGCCTGAAGTAATGGCCCATGCCCCACTGATTGCTTCCCTGGAGTATCACCACCCACCCCCGCAAGCACTCCCCATGTGGCCAATACCTCTCCCACGGGGGCGGGAGACCAGTCACAGAGCCTGCTTTCCTGGAGAGCACTCCACCCGCCCACACCGCAGCCCTAGGTATCCCCACGTGGCAGCCCCTGTCTCCCTACATCCTGTGTTGGTCCAAACGTGGCCCCCATTGCTGATTACTGAAATGTCGGCCTCCAGCAAGTGCAGGCTGCCCACATGTCAGTCACATGTGTCATCTGGGGCCATTTTTCCATGTCCCTATGTGGTTGGTCTGATTATTAGCTCACATTACAGAAGGGGAAACTGAGTCACCGAGCATCTTGTGTCTCCATCTCAAGGCCAGCATCTCAGGACACAAGAGGCCAGGCTGGCCCACACCCATTCTGCAGGCCAGAGCCATCCTGCCACAGCCAACCCTGCCAGCACCAGGCTGCCCAGCCCCCAGCCAACTGGGCTTAACCAGGGTGGTGGGGGCTGGCACCCAACCCCAGCGCCACAGCTCTGGCCCTGCCTTGGTGGGCAGATGGAGAGCACACCCAGAGAAGCCGTGGTTCTCAGCCCTCTGGACACCAAGGAGGACCCCAGCTCCAACCCCAGCCCCACACAGGGACACAGTGGCAAGGCCCAGACCTACACCCTGGCAGGTGAGCATCTGAGGATTCAAGGGAGGGCAAATAAAACACCAGTCACGTCCAGCTCTCCAGGGCAGACTCAGACACCCCAAGCATGTCCACTTTCTGGGGCTCCAAAGGTTCGGAGACACCTGGAGGTGTGCACTTCACCTCCCAAGGACTGCAGAGGTGAAAGGCGGGATGTTGGTGCCACTGCTCTGTGAGGTGTGGAGGGTGAGCAAGTGAGCACACAGAGGCGTTTGTTCTCAGGTGAGGGATCAAGAGAGGCCTCAACCAGTCCAGGCCTCTGCTGGGCAGGCGGGCACTGGGCAGGCTCCATTGAGGAAAGGGCAGCCCAGGGCCAGGGCCATCAGGTGGATAGCTGTGCTTCAGGAGTCCAGACACCCTGGGGCACTTGCCCCTCAAGACTTGGTCCAGGTGTCACATCCTCACACTGAACACTGTTCTCACCACCCTGGCCACACTGTGTGACCCTTGCTGGCCATCCTGCTCCGAATGCTGCAAGGGCAGCAGCCCATGTGGGCCCCCCATGGCCACCCTCACAGCAGATGCACTCAATAACTTTGCTTCTGGGTGGGTGGGTGGGTGGGTGGGTGGGTGGGTGGGTGGATGGATGGATGGATGGATGGATGGGAGGAAGGGAGGGGGAATGAATGGGTCAGCAGGTGGATGGATGGATGGATGGATAGATGGACGGATGGGAAGCAGGGAGGGGAAATGAATGGGTCAGTGGGTAGATGGATGGGATGGATGGATGGATGGATGGATGGATGGATGGATGGATGAATAGATCAATAAATGAGTGGGTAAATGAGTGGACGGATGGATGAATGGGTGGTTGGCTGGGTGAATGAGTGGATAAATGGAGGGAGGGAGGGACAGATCGTTAGATGGATGGATGAATGGGTGGGTGGGTGGATGGATGGATGAATGGGTGAATGAAAGGATGGATGGATGGGAGGGAGGGAGGGAAGGATGGATGAATGGGTCAGTGGGTGGGTAGATGGATGGGATGGATGGATGGGTGGATGGGTGAGTGGATGGATGGATGGATGGATGGATGGATGGAAGGGATGGATGAATGGGTCAGGGATGGATGGATGGGAGGGAGGGATGGATGAATGGGTGGGTGGATGGATGGATAGATGAATGGGTGGGTGAGTGGATGGATGGATGGATGGATGAGTGGATGAATGGGTGAATGGAAGGATGGATGGATAGATGGATGGATGGATGGATGGATAGATGGGTTAGTGAATGGATAGGTGGATGGATGGAGGCATGGATGAATGGAGGGATGGATGTGTGGATGGGTCAAAGAATGGATGGATGAAAGGATGGATGGATAGATGGATATGTGAGTGAGTGACTGGATAGGTGGATGGATGAATGGAGAGATGGATGAGTGGATGAGTGGATGGATGGATGGATGGATGGATGGATGGATGGATGGACAAATGGACAGATAGATGGATGAGTGGGTGGGTGGATGGGTGGGTGGGTGGGTGGATGATGGATTAATCGGTGGGTGGGTGGGTAAAAGGATGGACAAATGAAATCTCCCTGGTACTGGAGTTCACCTTCTGTGGCAGCTCCACAGGGCTCCACCTCACAAGAGCTCATGATGAGCAAGTACAGGCCAACTGCTCTATAGGCCCACCTCACTGGAGCCCTCAACCCTGGGAGGAAGGCACTCACCTCACTCCATCCTATAGACAAGGAAACTGAGACTCAGAGAGGGTGAAAGCACTCCTTCGGCTCACCCAGCCCAAGAATGGCAGAGCTGCAATGTGGTCCCAGAGAATCTTCCCAGCCCCAAACTTACACTGTCCACCGCTTGATAATGGTGTGGCCACTTTTTGCAAAGGAGACTGTTGCTTTTTGGAGAAACCCCAGTCATAAGTAACAGAAAGATCAGGGGTTCCTGGGTGGTGTCGTAGCCCCAGGGCAGGAATCTCAGTGCCCCCTTGCTCCTTGCCGAAGTGCCCAAAGGTCAGGGCCCTTCAACATCCCTCCACCCCCGCCCCCTTCTGTGAGTTTATTTCATGCATTTGAAATACAGTTGGATTGTTTTGCCACATTCCGCATTTCATCTGTGGCATCCCTCAACCTCCTGAATATTTTTATGTTTGTGTACATCAAGGTTCACTCTTTGCACTATTAAGTTTTCTGGGTTTTGCAAATGTAGAGTGTCAAATATCCACCAGGATAGTAGCATGCAAAATGGTTGTACCACCCTAACACATGCCCTGTGTCTCAGCTATTCCATCCTTCCCCACAAATCCCTGGCAAGCACTGGTCATTTTTTACTGTCACTATAGTTTGGGCTCTAATATATTTCTCTGATTAATTTTAAATCTCTAAGAGCCAAACAACTCTAGAATAACATGCATCCACTATAAATTATGACTAGGATTTTATGTGGCAACAAGGAAAACACTTAGGATTTACTGGTCAGGAAAGTGCGTTGACACAGGCTAAAACAGCTTAACTGAGTTAGAATTGACATACAATAAACCGCACATGTTTACGTGTATGATTGGGTCAGTTTTGACATAAATTGGTTGAACTTGGGAAACCACCACCCCAATCAGGATGAATATGTCCCCACCCATCACCCACACAGGGCTCCTTACACCTCTTTGGAATCTCTCCCTCCCACCCTTCCCCACTCGGGAGCTACCCAGGGTTTCTTTTCCATGGCATTTGTTTGCATTTTCTAGGACTTTGCAGATTTGTTTGCATTTTCTAGGATTCTGTGTAAATGGAACTATACAGTATGCATTCTTCGGTCTCTTTCACTAAGCATAATTATGTTGAGATTGCATCCAGCATTGCTGTGTAAATAGCTCATTCCTTCCTGGGCTCATTCATTCCCTGCTAATGGACACTGGGCTCATTGTCCATTTGAGGCCACTACGAACAAAACTGCTTCGAACATTTGTGTAATCTTAGTGTGGACATACACTTTCTTTTCTGCCAGGTAAATACCTAGGAGTGGAGTATCTGGATCAGACAGGTAGGTCTATGTTCAACTTTTTGAGAAATCGCTAAACTGCTTTCCAAAGTGGTTGTACCTTTCTACATTCCCACCGGCAGTGTATGAGACATCCGTTACCCCACAGCCTTGTCAACACTTGGGATGGTCAGTCTTTTTAATTTTAGCCGCTCCAGTAAGTGTGTGATGTTGTCTCATTATTACTTGAAATTGTATTTCACTAATGACTAATGATGTTAAGAATTTTTTTATACACTTATCTGCCATCCATATGTCTTCTTTTTTTCACTTTTTAAAAAACTTTATTTTAGACCAGGCACAGTGGCTTATACCTGTAATCCCAGCACTTTGGGAGGCCAAGGCAGGCGGATCACCTGAGGTCAGGAGTTTGAGATGAACCTGGCCAACATGATGAAACCCCATCCCTACTAAAAATACAAAAATTAGCCAGGCGTGGTGGCGCACCTGTAATCCCAGCTACTTGGGAGGCTGAGGCAGGAGAATCAGTGGAACCCGGGAGGCAGACGTTGCAGTGAGCCAAGATCGTGCTGCTGCACTCAAGCCTGGGCAACAGAGTGAGACTGTCTCAAAAAAAAAATTATTTTAAAAACCCCTATTATATAGTTTTGCTTTTTCAACAAATACTGGGTGCTGTGTTTAAATATTAAATCCATTATAGAGAAATCTTTGGTAATGTACTTGTGACTAGTATAGCAATTCCTGTCAAAGCACTTTCTCCTCACATCCTTGTGTGACTGTTTAACTTAGGATATCTAATTTCTTACAAAAAAAAAAGTCAGTTTACTCCCAGGCTTATAAGCCCCATATGTCTTCTTTAGTGAAACGCCTACTCAAATCTTTTGCCCATTATTTATTGGGTTATTGGGGTGGGTTTCTTTTTAAGATCTAAACATTATTTATGTATTCTAGATACGAGTCCTTTATTGGAGAGATCCTTTGTAGATATATTTCTCCCAGTCTGTGGCTTGTCTTTTCATTCTCTCAATAGTGTTTTTTAAAGTAGGAGTTTCAAAATTTTGATAAAATCCAATTGATCAATTTACTTTTTTATAAATTTTGCCTTTGGTATTACATGTAGGAAATCTTTGCCTAACCCAAGATCACACAAATATTTTCCCCTATGTTTTCTTTTAGAAATTTTATAGTTTGGGGTTTTCCATGATGCATTTTGAGTTAATTTTTTATATGTAGTATGAGGTATGGCTTGAAGTTTGTCTTATTATGTATGGATATCCAATTGTTCTAGCCCCATTTGTTGACAAGACTATTCTTTCTTCATTGCAGTACTTCTGCTCCTTTGTTGAAAATTCAATTAGCCAGGTGGGGTGGCATGTGCCTATATGGCTACTGGGGAGGCTGAGATGGGAGGATCACTTGAGCCCAGGGTGTAGAGGTTGCAGTGAGCTGAGATCATGCCACTGCACTCCAGCCTGGGTGACAGAGTCAGACCCTGTCTCAAAAAAAAATTTTTTTAAAGAAAAAATAATTATTGTTTATATACACATGAATTTGTTTCTGGACTTTACTCTGTTCATTGACCTATTTGTCTGTCATTATGCTAATGCTGCACTGTTTTGATTATTGTAGCTTTGTAACAGTTCTCAATCCCAGCCAATGTTTCAGTTTCCTCCAACTTTGCCCCTTTTTCAGGACTGCGTTGGCTCTTCTATGTCCTCTGCATTTCCCTCTGAATTTAGTCTCAATTTGTCAGTTTCTACCAAAAAAAAAAAAGCCTGCAGGGATTTTGACTGAAATTGCATTAAATATATTTATCAGTTTAGAAAGAACTTACGTCCTAGCAATATGGAGTCTTCCAGCCCATGGACAAGGTGTACATACCTGTTTCTGCAGGTCTCTAATTTCCCTCCCAATGGTTTACAGTTTTCAGCGTACTCGTCTTTCACATCCTTTGTCAGATTTTTCCCTAAGTATTTCATATTTTTGTACCGTTATAATGATATTGTTTGTTCCCATTTCCAATTATTTATTGCTAATATAGAGAGATACAATTGATTTTTTGGGACTTTTTATTATGGAAAGATACACATAACAGAATTTCTCATCTTACGCAGTCTTAAGTGCGTGGCTCAGTGGTATTGACTATGTCACCATGCTGTGCAGCCATCACCAGCATTCAGCTCCAGAACACCTTCATTTTTCTTAAACTGAAACTCTGCTCCCACTAAACACACCCTCCGCTCTCCCCCAGCCTCAGGTAGCCACCATTCTGCTTTCTGTTGCTATGAATCTGACAACTTGAGATACCTCAAATAAGTGGAATGATACCGTGTTGGTCTTTTTGTGTCTGGCTTATTTCACTCGGCCTCATGTCATCTATGTATTGTAGCCTGTGTCAGAATTTCCTTCCTTCCTTTTCAAGGCAGAATAATATTCCACTGTAAGGACAGACCACATTCTGTTTATCCCTTCATCTGTCAAGGGGCACTTGGGTGGCTTCAACTGCTGTGAACATGAGTGTGCAAATATCTTTTCAAGACCTGCTTTTAATTTTTTTTTTTTTTTGAGATGGAGTCTTGCTTTATCACCCAGGCTGGAGTGCAATGGTACAATCTTGGCTCACTGCAACCTCCACCTCCCAGGTTCAAGTGATTCTCCTGCCTCAGCCTCCCAAGTAGCTGGGATTACAGGCGCCCACCACCACACCCAGCTACTTTTTGTATTTTTAGTAGAGACAGGGTTTTGCTGTGTTGACCAGGCTGGTCTTGAACTCCTGACCTCAGGTGATCTGCCCACCTCAGCCTCCCAAAGTGCTGGGATTACAGGCATGAGCCACCGCACCCTGCCTCAGCCACAAGAGTAGCTGGGATTACAGGCACACACCACCATGCCTGGCTAAATTTTTTTTGTATTTTTAATAAAGACAGGGGTTTGCTATGTTGGCCAGGCTGGTCTCAAACTCCCGACCTCAAATGATCCACCTGCCTCGGCCTCCCAAAGTGCTGGGATTACAGGCGTAAGCCACTGACCCTGGCCCCTAATAGAAATTTTAACATGATATAAAGATGATTTAAAGTATACGGGAGGATGTGGTCAGGCGTGGTGGCTCATGCCTGTAATCCCAGCACTTTGGGAGGCCGAGGCGGGTGGATCACCTGAGGTCAGGAGTTCGAGACCAGTCTAGCCAACATGGTGAAACCCTGTCTCTACTAAAAATACAAAAATTAGCCAGGGGTGGTGGCAGTTGCCTGTAGTCCCAGCTACTCGGGAGGCTGAGGCAGGAGAATTGCTTGAACCCAGGAGGCAGAGGTTGCAGTGAGCCTAGATCACACCACTGCACTCCAGCTTGGGTGATAGAGAGAGGTTCTGTCTTAAAAAAATAAATAAATAAATAAAGTACATGGGAAGATGTATGTAGATTATATGCAAAGACTATGCCATTTTATGTAGAGGATTAGCGCACGCATACATTTTGTGTCCTAGGGGTGCTGGCACCCATGCCCCGTGGATATCAAGGGACAACTGCCGCTGCCTTTTATAGATACTCGATTATGCACAGATGATCACATCATCTGTCACAGTTTCACTCCCCCTTCCAATCTAGATCTTTTAAGTGTATTCACCTTCCCGATTGCCTGGCTGTGCTTTCCAGCACCATGTTCATTAGAAGTGGTGAGAGCAGGTATCTTGGTCTTGTTCCTGATTTCAGGGGAAAGCATTAGTGTTTAAGTATGATGTCATCTGCAGGCTTTTTATAAATGCCATTATGAGGATGAGGAAGTTATATTCTATTTTTAGGAGAGTTCTTATCAGGAGTGGGTGTTGAATCTGGTCAAGTGCGTTCTTCTGAATTGACTGAGATGATCCTATGATTGGTCATCTTTAGTCTGTTCACATGATGAATTACATTGATTTTGAATGTTAGACCAACTCTGGATTCTTGGAATAAATCCCCTGTGGTTATAGTTTTAATAAATTTTTTGATTCGATTTGAAAAAATCTTGTTTAGAATGAGAACACGTGGATACAGGGAGGGGAACAACACACACTGGGGCCTGGTGGGGGGTGGGAGGTGAGGGGAGGGAGAGCATCAGGACAAATAGGTAATGCATGTGGGGCTTAATACCTAGGTGATGGGTTGACAGGTGCAGCAAACCACCATGACACACGTTTACCTATGTAACAAACCTGCACGTTCTACACATGCATCCCAGGACTTAAAGTAAAATATTTTTTTAATTTGTTTAGAATTTTTACATCTGTGTTTATGAGGGATGTTGGTTCATAGCCTTCTTTTTTTTTTTTCCAGAAATATGGACACTTTATTTATGTGAAAGAGTCAGGAGAAGAACTGGCCACAGTGGTAAAGTACATTATCAAAATAACCAGGAAACATAGGACAAAGAATAGCAGGAAATAGTATACCGTGTGTTTATTAAGTTGGGTTGTAAATAAGAGGGATAGGAAAGCCCCTTCCCACACTCTTTTCCCGATGATCTCATTTCCAACACCTTCATAAGCCCCTTCTTTCATTTGATACACAGTCTTTCATTTGAAAGCAGTCTAACATGTTAATGTGTCAGATAAAGCTTGTATCTAAAGACTGCTTTCAAAGGAAAGGTTCATAGTCTTCTTATAATGTTTTTATGTGGTTTTGAAATCGGGGTAATACTGGCCTCAGAGGAAGAGTTGAAGGTGTTCCTCTCTTTTCAGTTATTGTTGGAAGGGTTTGTGCAGAGTTGACATACTTCTTTCTTAAATCTTTGGTAGAATTCACCAGTGAAACCATCTGGGCCTGGGGTTTTCTTTGCAGGAAGGCTTTGTTGTGTTTTATTTACAATTCAATTCCTTTAACATATAGGGCCATTCAAGTTATTTCTGCCCAAGTGATCTTCGATTCATCCTGTGTCCAAGGAGTTTGTCCTTTTCATCCGGGCTGCCAAATGTTTCGACTTGAAGTAGTTCATGATGTCCCCCTATTATCTTTGTAATATGTGTAGAATCCACAGTGGCGTCACCTGTCTTGTTCCTAACATTGGTAATTTGTCTGTTTTCTCTTTTATTCTCCAGCCTGGCTAGGGGTTTATCCGTCTAATTGATCTTCTCAAAGAACCAGCTTTTGGTTTTGTTGACTTTTCTCTAGTGTTTCATTTTGTTGTTTTATTGATGATTTTGCTTTTCCTGCTCACGTTGGGCTTAATTTGCTCTTCTCTTTCTTTCCTAATTTCTTACGGTAGAGAGACCATTGATTTGAGGCTTTCCTTCTTTTCCCATGTAGGAGTGGAACGTGGTGGATTTTCCCTACATGCGGCTTTGGCTAAACCGCACGTTCCCCTCCCTCCTGAGGGTCTGTCTCCTCATCCACCCGCTAGTGCATCTCCAGCTTCTGTACCTCAGACTCACCTTGAAAGTCCACTTGACATCCATCACTGTGCAGTCAGTCAGGAAAAGGAAGCCACACTCGTTATTTCAAACAGAAGGAAGTTAATACAGAGAACTGGTTACACAGGTGCTGGAGGCTGGAAGAGAAGACGGGCACCGAGGCACCTGACGTTGTGAACAGCAGGAAGCAGCTTCCACTCCCAGGGCTGGGGGAACAAATGAAAGAGGTTGGGCTGCCAGAACCCAGGAGCACAGAGAAAGGATGGAGTGGCAGAGCCAGTATTGGGAGTGCCAAAAGAAGTGGTGGGCTGGAGTAGCCACCCCCCTCTATGGCTGGAGGGCCCTGAAAGAAGCTGGTGAAGGAACAGAAATCTCCTCTCCTCACCTCCCACCAGTGCCTTCCAGGAAGACATCTGGTCAAAGAGCCTGAAAATACAGTGTGCACAATCCCAGCCGCATGTATCAGTCAGCTATTGCTGCATAACAAAGCACCCAAAAACCAAGGGCTTACAACAATGTGTTTCATGGATGATAGACGGATAGAGAGATAGAAGAGATAGGTAGAAATGTGTGTGCGCACGTGTGTGTGTGTGTGTGTGTGTGTGTGAATGTGTGTGTGTATGGATTAGGGTATATACAGATGCTTTCTAGTATTCTCCCCTGAGAAGGTCTACCAAAAAAAAATGACACCCCAGTAGTAACTACCACACCCAATGTCCAGATCTTGGTTTCTAAATACCATTTTCCAATTAAAAGAATCAGGACTCCTTAGAGAAGTAGCTGGGTCTCTGGGGAAGGAAATTACAAGATAAACCTGGAGCATTTTATGGTGCCAGAAAGTGAGGAAGGGCTCAAAAACAGATAGGGTGAAAGCACACAGGAGCCACTGTGAAGGGGCTGCCATGGCCAACACTGGAACAATTTGAGAAACAAAATAAAGATAATGTTGGATTATAACCCAAATAATAAAATAAGTATCTACAAACCCATAGTGAAGTAAATAACTGCACAAACAAATAAGAAGAAACAGCTTATTTTAATAGAATTCCAGTTACTTAATGCAGAAGAAATGAAGTAAATAGAAAATCACCATCAGAGGCCACAGGATTAACAGCTGTCTACAGAGGTATGCTAAAGTCAATAGGCTGAGGTTAGAAGAGAAACAAGTTATTTACATGAATTCAAAGTATCTTCCCTAAGATATTTATTAATTACAAAGTCGCAAAATAGTAACTTTGCAGTGCAGAGACCTGGCAGACGCCACCTGAACCAAGGGTTCAAGGTTAACATCCCCAGCAATGGGACAGGCAGCGTCATACACTCTGATAAGCTACATAAGAGCACGTGGCCGGGCCCACTGGCTCACACCTATAATCCCAGCATTTGGAGAGGCCACATTGGGAAAACCGCTTGAGGCCAGGAGTTCGAGACCAGCCTGGGCAATCTAGGGAGACCTTGTCTCTGCAGAAATGTTAAAAAATTAGCTGGGCACAGCAGTGCATAGACTCTGGGGTTCCCAGGGACCTCAAACTCCACCCTAGTGGGGCTGGACCTGGGGTGTGGCCTGTGCCGGATGTCCTCGCTGGCTGACATTTGCTTTCTTTATTACTCCCTTCCTTTATTGCACCGTTTAATTGTATTAAATGGTGCCCAAGGCATAAGGTGCAGGATTTTATGGCCTCGGGGTGACCCTGCAGTGAGGCCTGGCCCTTTCCTTCTTTACTTTGTGAGCCCGGGGCTGCCCTGCCCTCAACGGTGACGCTATGGGAGCCCTTGACTCATGTGCCAGGAATTGGGAGGGACGCCAAAGGCAGTGCTGTTTTCCATACAGAGCTGTGGCACTCGTTACAGAAATCAGAAAACACAAAACTGTCCGTGGGTGGAAGAAAAATGTCCCCCTCCCCCTCCCCCGAGAAGCCTCTTAATCCTTCAAAATCTTTCCCACCTTCTGTGCAGGTCTGGGAGATTCCTGACATTGTCCTGGGCATTCCTGGGGACAATTATGTAGCCGGAGTCTTTTCATTAAATGACATTTGACGTCTCTGAACTTAAAGCAATACACGTGCACCGAGGGCATGTCCAGATGCAGAGACGTGTTCGAAAGCTCTAGCGCGTCCCCATGTCAGCGGCCTGGGGTCCCCAGGTGGCAGTATCGTTTCAGGTGGGGAGGGGTCCCGGCTGCTGGGTGCCGTGGCCTGGCCTGGGCAGGCACAGTTGCTCATCTGCGATGGGTTCTGGATAGCAGCACCCTTGCTGGTTATGGGGGTGAACAGTGTTCGTGAATCTCTGCCCGCATGGGCACCCACGGGTGCTCCTAAGTTCTCCTGGTTATTACCACAGATTGTTTTACAGCCTCTTTTCCCCCACAATATATCGGGGAAGTTAAATATTTGCTGAGAACATGATTATTGATTGATTGATTGATTTTGAGGCAGGGTCTCGCTCTGTTGCCCAGGCAGGAGTGCAGTGATGCAATCTTGGCTCACTGTAGCCTTGAACACCTGGGCTTAAGCCATCCTCCTGCCTCAGCCTCCTGAGTAGCTGGGACCACAGGTGTGCACCACCAAGCCCAGCTAATTTTTTAGTTTTTAGAGATGGGGTTCTCACGATATTGCCCAGACTGGTCTTGAACTCCTGGTCTCAGGTGACACCCCGACCTTGGCCTCCCGCAGATCCAGTACCATCTTCCCAGGCTTTCTGTTTTCCTCCTAGGAGAGCTGTGGCTAAGGGGTCAGCCCAGCTTGACTGTCGTTCTGCCTCTGCTACTCATGATGGCGCCCGCATCCCCCTTGCCTCTGACGGCTGAGAGCCACCTCCTGGCAGTCCCAGGTCCCCCTCGCCTCTGACGGCTGAGAGCCACCTCCTGGCAGTCCCAGGTCCCCCTCGCCTCTGACGGCTGAAAGCCACCGCTCGGCTGTCCCGGGTCGATTCTTCCCATTGCGACTCTTTTCCAGCTGAGTGGCTGTGGCTCCCACTGTGAGGTCTGTGGCCCTCAGAGAAGAGCAGCCCAGGGATCTGTCCCTATTTCTACCCCACTCACTAATCTAGTTCCCAGTGTGGGGAAAGGTCTGTCTTCTGGACCTTCTGGTGGGTGAGGAGGTCTTAAGTGACAAACCTACCCTAGCCTTCCAATCTCCCTAGGCCTTTGCATCCCTTCCTCCACAGTAAACCAAGCCAGGTCTGGCCTTTCCAGTTTAATGTGACCCCTTTTCTGTCTATGTTGCACCCAACGAAGCAGCCAGCGGTTAGCGCCCTGCTAACTCCCTGAACCACACCTCGAAAGGCAGACTGTCTGCTTGGTGGGCACCTGCAGCACGTTCAGCGTGACCCCTTCATGGTCCTCCCACACCCCTGGACCGCATTTCTGTCTGTGCGGGACGGACACGCCACACCGCTCTTGCCATGGAGGTCACCTCCGTGGTTTGCACTCAGCCTCTGGCTCTGGGGCTTGCTGGACTCGAGTCAGCACCTGGGACCCCGTCAGTGAGGATCAAACCCTTGTTCTTACGCACGCGTTTTTAGGGAGGTAACACATTTGTCACTTTTTTTCTTTATTATTTCTTCCTTTGTTTGTATGCTTAGAAAAGTGCTCTTCTCTAAAGATCAGATAAATATCTGACTCTATTTTCTTCTCACTCTTTTTTAAATTATCCTTTTTCCTTATTTTTTACCATATAAGCATTTCTCACATTAAACATTAAACATTATTTTTTATTAAACATTATTTTACTAAACATTATTTTAAAATTTTAAATTATTTTAATGGGGGTTTTTTTGTGGTTTTTTTCTGGGTTTTTTTGTTTGTTTGTTTGTTTGTCTCTGCGACCCAAGCTGGACTGCAGTGGCGCAATCTCGGCTCACTGCAAGCTCCGCCTCATGGGTTCATACCATTCTCCTGCCTCAGCCTCCTGAGTAGCTGGGACTACAGGCATCCGCCACCACGCCCGGCTAAGTTTTTGTATTTTTAGTAGAGACAGGGTTTCACCGTGTTAGCCAGGATGGTCTCGATCTCCTGACCTCATGATCCACCCGCCTCAGCCTCCCAAAGTGCTGGAATTACAGGCATGAGCCACCGTGCCCAGCCTTTTTTTTTTTTTGAAATGGAGTCTCACTCTGTCACACAGGCTAGAGTGCAATGGCGCATTTTATGTGTTTTTTCTGGTTTTTCTTTTCTTTTTCTTTTTCTTTTCTTTTTTTTTTTTGCAATAGAGTCTCACTCTTTCACCCAGGCTGGATGGAGTGCAGTGGCGCGATCTCGGCTCACTGCAACCTCCGCCTCCCAGGTTCAAGCAATTCTCCTGCCTCAGCCTCGCGAGTAGCTGGGATTGCAGGTGTGCCCCACCACACCCGGCTAATTTTTGTATTTTTAGTAGACATGGGGTTTCACCACGCTGGCCAGGCTGGTCTCAAACTCCTGGCCTCAAGTGATCCATCTGCCTTGGCCTTTATTTTAATTGTTTTTGAATAGGTAAAGAACAGATCATGAAAGCAAACCTCCCTCCTGCCTGGTCGCCCCAGCTCCCTTTGCCCTGCCCAGAGATGACAGATCACCATTCTCTATACTATTTTTACCAGGATTCTACGAGTCTAAAATGATTTCATGATAAGAAGTCTGTGATGATGGCCGTTATGGAAAACAGCATGGAGATTCCCAAAAAACTGAAAACAGAACCACCACGTAATCCAGCTGTCCCACTCCCGGGCGTGACACGCGGAGGCCACATCAGTACGCAGAAGAGACACCCGCACCCCATGTTCGCCGCAGCGCTGTCCACTACGGCCAGACATGGAACCAGCCTCAGCGTCCAGCAGCCAAGGAAGGTGCATCCACGTCAGAGAACTGTTCCTCCACAGAAGAGGGAATTGTGTCATTGGTGCCGACATGGATGAACTGCAGGACTTCATGCTGAATGAAGGAAGCCAGGCCCAGAAAGACAGACACTGCATGATCTCACACATAAGTGGAGCCTAGAAAAGTTGAACTCACAGAAGCAGAGAGAGGACCCAGGGACATAGGGGCTGGGAACTGGGGAGGGGTTGGTCCAAGAGTACAAAGTTTCTGTTACAGACCGTGCACAGTGGCTCATGCCTGTAATCCCAGCACTTTGGGAGGCAGAGGCAGGCAGATCACCTGAGGTTAGGAGTTCGAGACCAGCCTGGCCAACATGATGAGACCCCCGTCTCTACTGAAAATACAAAAATTAGGCCAGGCGCGGTGGCTCATGCCTGTAATCCCAGCACTTTGGGATGCTGAGGCGGTCAGATCATGAGGTCAGGAGATCAAGATCATCCTGGCCAACATGGTGAAACCCCATCTCTACTAAAAATACAAAAATTAGCTAGGCATGGTGGCAGGCGCCTGTAATCCCAGCTACTCAGAAGGCTGAGGCAGGAGAATCGCTTGAACCCAGGAGGCGGAGGTTGCAGTGAGCCAAGATGGCACCACGGCACTCCAGCCTGGCAACAGAGTGAGACTCCGGTTCAAAAAACAAACAAACAAAAAAATTAGCTGGGCGTGGTGGCGGGTGCCTGTAATCCCAGCTACTCCAGAGGCTGAGGCATGAGAGTTGCTTGAACCTGGGAGATAGAGGTTACAGTAAGCCGAGATCGTGCCACTGCACTCCAGCCTGGCGACAGAGCAAACTCCATCTCAAAAAGAAAAAAAAAGTTCCGTTAGACAAAAGGAATAAATTCAAGAGATGTACTGCACAGCATGGTGACTACAGTTAATAACACCATATTGCATCCTTGAAAATCATTAAGAGAGAGAAAAAAAGAAAGAAAATCATTGCGAGTAGAATTTGAGTGTTCTTACCACAAAAAAATGGGAAGTATGTGAAGTCATGTGTGTTATGCTGCTTGATTTAAGCACAATGTAAACACGTTTCAAAACATCACATTGGACATGATAAATATATACAATAAAAGAACAAAATACATTTGCAAAACGAAGCATTATTATTGTGCAGGCTCTGCTGGTCGCCTGGTCTCAGTTCTGGTCTTGGCTGGACTCTGGGTCTAGTCCTCTCTCCGCAGCAATCCGGTGTCCCCTCGACGGACAGGATCCCCGGCCCCGCCCGCCGGACAGCAAGCTCACATTCTCTCTGTCGATTCAGTGGGAAGAGAGGCCCCTGGGGACAGTCCCGACGTCGAACTCCACACGGCCAGCACCTCGACCCTGGAGGGAGTGCTCCTCCCTGAGGAAGCGGGACCTTCAAGCTAGAGTGAACGGTGGCTGTGTGGGCAGGCGGCTGGTGCGACAGGGACTGTGGCCGTGACTCCCACCCGTGATTCCTGGATACCATCGCCACAGAGAAGCGGCACCGGACATGGATGGCGAGCACCTGGTCTGTTCTGCGGGGTTGCGCCCGTCCTTTCAGAGGGCCTCCTGGCCGGCGCCATAACTGGTCTTCAGGGGCCGTCCCACGCTCTATTAACCCGCTGCTCCTGGGAGCACTGCCTGAGCATGGGATGAGTCCTGCTGTGGGAAGCAGCATCGGTGGGGGTGTGATGGACAGTGGGGTGCTGTCGAGTCCGTGGACGAAGCCATGGGCAGGAACAGCAAGTCCACATTCAGAAAACTGCGAGGGCCTCCGTGACAGCTGACGACCTGTCCCTGTCCTGTCTGTGGAGGGCCGGCGAGGCAGGCGAGGACCCGTCCCTGGGGAATGGCACCATGAGGGGACCAGATTGCTGCCCCTGGAGTCGGCAGGGCACTTGTGCTGCAGGGCCGTGCAGAGCCCCCATCCCGCCACATCCCACCTTCCTCTTGGGCCCCTGGGGCCTGCCTGGCATGGCTGCTGAGTGACCGTGGGCGCTGACCTGTGACCGTCATGAACATACCACAGGCCACACTGGCTCTCCCGTCTTCTACATGCCTCCATGTCTTTCACACCTTGACACTTTTGAGGGGCTCTGGGCAGGTGTGTGTAGAACCTCCCCTTGTTGGGGACGTTGGATGTGTTCTTATGATTGAGATTGGAGTTATGCATTTTTGGCCAGGAAACTGCAGAAACCACATGCTCTTCTTTATTTTTGTTTTTATTTTATAGAGACAGGGTCTCACTCTGTTGCCCAGGTTGGAGTGCAGCGGTGCCATCACGGCTCCAGCCTGAGCCTGGAGTGGGGACAGGATGACGAGAGCCCACCGTGCATCCCAGCGACTCTCCAGGGCACACTCTGGCTGTGGCTCGGACACAGACACCCTGGGCCCCAGGGGAAGCCTCAGCTGCATTCTGAGCTCCCTTCTGAGGACAGAAGTCAGAGGACACCAAGACCCCTCCGGAGGTCCCCTAGGGTAGGTGTCGCTCAGACCCCTTCAGCCTCTAACCAGACAGGAGCTGGGGCCTGGGGTCCCCAGAGGAAAATGAGGGGTGACTAATGAGGCTCAGGAGACTGGGGTGGGGGCATCTGACGGGGATGCAACTGGCACCTGGCTTCAGGGGCATTCGCTGATCCACCTGGGGCACCCCGGATTGACCCTGGTCCTTCTTTCCCCTGGAGCAGCGTCAGGGAAGGAAAGGAGCTGCCCAGTCGGGCCACGCTAGATCCCAGCACACAGGCACGCAGTGAAGAAGCCAGGCCACTTCTCAGTTTTGTTATGAAGATCGTTTAGGGCCCATGGTCTTCCCTGAAAGGATCCGGGGAACCTCCAGGGACCTGTGGGCCATGTGGGAGAGCAGCTGAGACAATTTATCACCTGAGACAATTATTAGTATCACCAGGTGAATATCAATGCCTGGGTAGGGAGTTCCCCGGAGCAGGCAGGTGGGAGCTGGAGGAAATGCTGTCAGCATCGCCACCCTTGGCCCCTTCAGAGCTGAAATTGTTAGAAGAGGCCACTCCTGCCTTTCCTGACTATCAACTTCCTCTGTCCAAGATGGGGCTGGGCCCTGGAGGAGACTCACCTGGCCCAGTCCCAGCGCAGGTCAGACAGGCCCCCTGCACCTGTTCCCTGCCTTTTTGGGACCTCAGTTTCCCTGCCTGGTCCCCGGTGGCCTCTCCAGGCTTGCAGCCTGCTGCTGGATGGAGCTGGTTTCGAGGGGGGTGGACAGCAGGTGCGACCCCCAAGCCTGCAGAGGAGCTCGCAGGCAACGCACCAGCTCCTTCAAGGAACAAACAAAGGCTGTGGCTTCCCAGGAAGAGCCAACAGCTGCGGGCCAGGGCGGGGGGTGGGAGGGGAGATAGTCCACCAGGAGGCTCAGCCACCCACCCCGCAGCCTCGCCCTGACTGCGTTTATGGCCAGATCCTGTTGTGGGCGCAAGTCCAGCTCCACTGCCCTCCCTCCTGCTGGCATCTTCCAGGAACTGGCAGGGGCAGCAGGAACCTAGGGACCCAAGAGCCAGGAGACGGCCAGGATCAGCATTTGCTTCTCATTACCGGAGATGGAGGAAATGGGCAGCTTCTCCTGCTGTCCAGATTGTAGGACTGGGGCGGCATCATCAAGAGTGGAATGTGACGTCGTCCAGCTCCCCAGACTCGGCCCTCCCGGAGTCCAGGGCTGCCAGGCTGCCCTCTGGCCCGGGGGAAGTGCCTGGGGAGGATGAAGGAAGCCAGAGGGTGCTGGGGCCCGGTGCCCATGCATCTGTCCATCGCGTTCTGCAGGGAGCAGCCTCCCAGGGACCCCACTGCCTCCCGGATCCCCGGGGGAGGGGCAGATAGGGGCCAGGAGGATGTTTGCCAGGTGGCATCCGGTAGGAAGGTTAGGGTGAGGCTAGCGGTTAGGGATTAGGGCTTGGGGTGTAGGGTTGGGTCTAGGGTTAAGGTGTTGGGACTAAGGGGTTTGGGTGGAGGCTTGGGGTGAATTTAGGGCAGGGGTAGGCTGGGGTGAGGGTAATTTGGGGTGGTATGTTAGGGTCAGGACCCTGGGACCACGCTGGGTCTGACGCATTCAAGGGCACTTTGTCAGCCATCAAACGGGGCAAGACGCTCCACCTGGGTGACACAGAGCCGCACAGCCCTGCACCTGTACCTACACCTGGGGCCCCTCCTGTGCCCACAGGGCCTCCCCTGGTCAGCTGGGAGGGCTCTGCTAGCTGCCTCCTATCCCTAAGTGGACACAGTCCCTGGATCCTTCCCCCAGGGCTGGCCACACCCAGCTGACCACTCCCCCAACTCCCCTCTGGGCCCAGGCAGTCACCAAGGGGGTCAGCCGTCCTCAGTCCTCTCAGCCACGCAGGCCTGGGCCTCGGGTAGGGCTGCAGGACACACCTCCCCTACAGCTGGGCAGGTCCATGGTGTCCAGGCAGCCTGCCCTGGCCCGGCCCCAGGTGGTGCCTGGCATGCAGAGGACCGGAAGGCGGCAAGACCCCCGCTGCCAACGCCCCTCTCCGGCCCAGATAAGGTTCTGGGGAAGTCATTTCTTCCAGGCCCAGCTTCGGGAGGGTTGCAGTGTCCACACACATCTCCCCCTGCAGCTCAACCAGGCGCCACGGGAGGCACCCAAACAGCTGTGGGAACTGCAGGAAGGAGGGGAGGAGAGGGCGGGGAGTGGAGGAGGGAGGAGCTGCCCAGGCGTCCCCCGCGTAGGGGTGCAGGCTCCTGGGGATGCTGGGGACTCCAGGTCCTCACTGGCCCTTCCCGGCTGGCCCGCCTTTGCTCTGCATACAGCTGGCGCTCAGCAAAGCTTGCCGCTGCTGATGGACAATTCCATAGCTCACTCCAGCATATCTGTGCCCCAGGAGACGGTGCCCTCCTGGCCCCGGCCTGTGCCCTCTGTGGCCATTGAGGGCCCCGCCAGGCCTGCGGTCACAGGCGGGGCCAGTGCAGGGAGGAGGCCCTGACCACAGCAAAGGGGTCCGCAGCAGGGGAGGCACCAGCGTCCAAGTGCCCGTGCCCAGGGAGGTGCCACCTCTGACACGGACAGGGCTTCAGGCTTGGGACACAGGTGCCGGGGAAGCAGAAGGGAAAGGGAGGGGGCGGAACCCCGGCAGCAGGTCGGCTTGGTGACTGCACACCCCACGGGGGCAGTGGCTTACAGGGACCCACAGCCCAGGAGGGCCTCACCTTCGGCCCCTCCCAGCAGTAGCACCAACTGCCGTGGCCGCCCACACTACCCTCGTCCCGACGGCCACCCACACCAGGCCCTCCGTGGCCAGCACTCCTGTCATCCACATCCCCATCTTGCTGATAAGCGGGCGGTGAGGACACAGGAAACCCAGGCTGTCACCCGCCCAAGTCCGGAGCCAGGATGGGTCCCCCAGGTGGGAGAAGCCTGGTCTCACCCCCAGAGTGGCCCAGCCTGTCCCACAGCCAGGATCTAATGCCAGTCTCCCAAGGAGTGGGCACAGGGGGGTGTCTGGCCCCCCCTTATGGGGAGGGAACTCTCCATGGGGGGCCAGGAGCTGGGGAGCCTCAGGGGTCACAAGAAGCTGGTGGAGCCAGGGAGCCATGGCCACAGCGTGGGGGCAGGTGCCCCAGGAGGGGGAGGGGAGGGCATGGCCTTGGTTGCTACCAGCCCCCGCACTGGCATTCGGGCAGCATGGGGGCACATTTTGGGCCTGGGGGACTGTGCCATCGTGGCCAGGAGCACCTTGAGAAGCCAGGAGGGCTGGCCAGGGTGGGGCAGAGCAGAGCAGGGCAGGGACAATCTGCCCAGACGTCTCACCACCCCTCAGACACCCCCAGACTTGCCTGGGCCAGGATAAATACGCAGTCCTTGCCCCAAGGCCCAGAATTAGGTACGTGGGTACCTGCATGTCTGGCCGGGTCCCCTGCCTCTCTGTGCAGAATCCTGATGCCCCCTGGCAGGCCTAGGGGTTCAGCAGAAGCAGGTTGCAGCCCCCACACCCCTCTAATGGGCCACATAGAAGGTGGGCCAAGGGCAGTGGATGGGGGGCCTGGGACACAGCAGCTGGGACACTGCCCCAGGACCAGGGTCGGGTCCAGGAGTGGAGAACCCAGGGCAGTGACGGGGAGAGCAGACAGACCTGGGTTGAGATGGTGTCTGGGTGGGAGTCCAGGGGGCCGGGGGCCCAGCTTCCCAGGTGCCAGGGGAGCCCCCGCCCCTGAGTCCTTGGTGAGCTGAGTCTCCAGGGTGTGGTGCTCCCAGCATCCTAGCCAGGCCTTGTGGCTGCAGAGGGACAGAAACCAGGCCCAGCTTCCTGCTGGGGGGGTCACCTCTCCCCAGGGGTCCAGGACACCGCTGCATCTGAAAATGAGCAGGAAAGGGGTGCTCAGTGCAGCCTCAGGGCCTTGGGGACCCCCTTGGATCTTGCCAGCTCCCGAAATGCAGAGAGAGAGTCGGGCAGTGGGGCCAGGGCTACAGCCCCCATGTCTCCTCAACGTCTGCCTGGCTCTGTCTACCTCAGGGAACCAGGGCTCCTCATACCGGACCTGGCCTCTACCCGCCCAGGGCGCTTGGAGCAAAGACTGTGGTCCCAGGTTCCCCGACAGTGGAAGCTTCCCTGCCCAGCCCAAGCCGTCTGCAGCCAGACCAGAGGCTGGTGTGGCACCATGGAAGGTTCCGGAGGGCGAGAGCCGTGATGCTGTAGCCCGCCAGCAGGTGGCACCTGGCACCCGCACCACAGCCCGGAGGAGGGCTGGGCAAGGCGTGTGCTCAGGGCCGTGTGGCCCAGGTGTGTGCCTGCGTGTGCCTGCATGTTGGCAAGTCCGGTGCCCGGGTGGCTCTCAGGCATCTTGGGGAGAACAGTCAGCCCACAGCCGGGCCAGAGCCCTCTGGCCCCATTGATGGGAGGCTCTGGGACAGACAGCACTGAGAAGGGAGAGAAGCTGGGCAGGTGGGGCAGGTGGGGCCACCGGGCAGGCGTGAGGGTGACCCTGCCAAGTGGCACAGGGACGATCTGAGTCCTGCAGGGCCCGGCAGCGCCTGAATAATGGGAGAAGCTGTGTGAGCCGTGCACGGGCGGGACAGCAAGGCGGGCGGGCGTGGGTCCTGTACACACGGGTGTGGGTGTGGCTGAGCGACCACTCGCCCTCTCACATCCCCTGCAGTGAGCGTGGGGGCACTGGCCCCTCATTTCCCAGCCCCGCTGGGCCCACCTCCTGCCTGGCCCTCCCAGGGACTGACGTGTGGCCACCTACCCCTCGAACCGCAGGGGTTGCCTGTCCCCGCCTCTGTCCCTGCACCTCAGGCCCATCCCCGCCCTTGTCCCCGCACCTCGGGCCTGTCCCCGCCTTTGTCCCCGCAACTCAGACCTTTGGTGACACCTGTGGGCTCAGGCGCCACATGGGGCCCAGGACACTGGGGCCGCAGCACATCGGGGAGGGGAGGCTGCAGTCTGGGCCCAAGGGCATCCAGCCTCTCCACTCCCTCCCCGGTGACCTTGGGCAGGCTGCCCCCTCTCTGTGCCTGTTTCCTCATCTACGTGGGTACAGAACCCGTCTCCACCTGCAGTAAATCCAGTGATGGCGGGAGTGTCCCGCCAGCTGCACTCTAGGACCCGTTCGCTACAAGGATTGCACTGGGGGATGCCCTGTCCCCAGCTGGCCCGGCTCTGTCATGGCCTGGACCCTCCCTGCCTGGGCACGTCTGACCCAGAGAGAGGGAAGGCCACCAGGGCAACCCCAGAGGCCTGTCCAGCTCAGAGCCAGCCCCTCCTGCACCAGGGTCCCCTGAGATTCACCCTGACAGGCAGCAGGAAGGCAGGGTGCCTGGTGGCCTCCTTCCCCCAGGGATCTGGGGAGGGTCTGGGCTGGGCTCTTCTTTGACAGGCCGCCCGGGCCCCACCTCAGGCCTGGAGGAAAGTGGAGGGGTCCACACCGTGGCCGACCCTGGGACTGGAGACACATGGGCACCAGGACACGCGAGGCCCATGGGGGCCAGGGAAGTCCCCAGAATCCCCACTCACCACTCTGGGGTGGGAAGAGGCAGGGCCAGCCTGTCGACATGCATCTCCTGCTGTCCAGAGAATGCTCCCGACGTCCCCATTTTCCTACAGAAGAGGACATCCTTGCTGGGAAGCCGGTGGCTGCAGCCAGTCAATGGTGACTCCCAGAAGGTTCCAGGCCCCGCCCAGCCAGAACCCCAGAGCCAGACCTGGGGCCACAGGGCATGACGCAGCTCTGCCTATACAGGGACAGGCAGCTGCCCACGGCCATGGGCACAGGCTTTGAGGAAGCGACAAGGCTCTTGCACCAGCAGATTAAAATGCTGCCAAGCGGAAGAGTCTGTCAAAGCTCTCAAGGAGCAGCTGGTTCAGGGCCAGCAGGTGCTGGGGTGGTAGGGGGGCCCCTTGGCTGCTGTGACGGTGCCTGTCCCTGGCTCCCAGCCCGGGAGCCCCAGCAGTGCCTTGTACAGCCGGCCCAGACATGCAAAGGGCCAGAGCCCGGCACGCGGCAGTGTTGACTGTCATCATTGTTATTGCCATCATCATCATCATCATCATCATTGCTATTATTATATTATCATCAGGAAACTCACCTACATTCTGCAGGCTGTGGGTGAGGCCAAGGAGCAGAGGGCTGGGGGTTGATGTGGGCCGGCAAGGTCCAGGCCAGGAGGGTTCATCCCAGGGATGCCAAGACCCAGCAGAAGGTTAGCAGGGGAGGAGAGACCCTTACCCCAGGGTGACCCCACGGCGGGGGCTGCATGTGGGCACCAACTGGAGGCCTGCGGGAGGCAGGTGTGGCTCGGAGGCTCTTTGGCAAGGTGGGAGCCGGGGGTCCCTTAAGAAGTCCACCTTAAGAGGTCCTCCAGAGTGACCCAGGGAGAACCATTCTCCAACCCACCCACTCCTGGATCTCAGGCTCCCAGGACGCAGAGAGACTCTGAGCCATCTCCCGGGTTGTGCTGCTTGGTTATGGTGGCCCCAGGAAAGCGAATCAAGAGTTGCAGCAATGCTGCCCAGCCCCACGAGCAGGGAAACCAGAGCCAGGAGGTGGCGATAGGGACTGCGGGTGGGTGGACCGCGGGGCTGGGGTGTGTTCTCTTCCTGCTACTCTTCTACATTTTTCCAGGTTTTATTTAGTGACTATGTTCCACTCTGTATTAAAGTATCAAGATTCCATTTCATCAAGGACTAGCATTTTTAGCAAAGAGAGTAGCAGAGGCCAGGATTTAGCAACTAAAAAACTCCAGGAAATATGGGAAACAACATCTGTCAAGACGGTGGACATCAGGCGACGAAGAGAGTGGTCCCAGAGAGACAGCGGGTCCCTCCAACCTGGCTGCTATCCGGAAACGCCATGGCCTGAGCGGCATAAAAGCAACAGACACGCATCTCCACGGCTGCAGAGGACGGGACGTTCAAGATCCACACTCTGGCAGATTCGATGTCTGGTGAGGCCACTCCCTGGTTCACGGACGGCACCTTCCCACTGGGTCCCCTTCGCCTCTGGTAGAAGGGGTGGGAGAGCTCTCTGAGGTCTCTTTTTTTTTTTTTTCGAGACAGGGTCTCACTCTGTCACCCAGGCTGGAGTGCAGTAGCACAATCTCGGTTCACTGCAAGCTCACTTCCCAGGTTCGAGTGATTCTCCGCCTCAGCCTCCCGAGTAGCCGAGATTACAGGCGCCCACCACCATGCCCAGCTAATTTTCATATTTTTAGTAGAGACAGGGTTTCTCCATGCTGGCCAGGCTCATCTCGAACTCCTGAACTCAGGTGATCCACCTGCCTCGGCCTCCCAAAGTGCTGGGATTACAGGCGTGAGCCACCGCGCCCGGCTCTGGGATCTCTCCTGTAAGGACACTAACCCCATTCTTGAGGGCTCTGCCACCTCCCCAAGTCCCCACCTCCTAATATCGTCACCTTGGGCACCAGGATTTCAACACAGGAACCGGAGGGTGGGGAAGACACAAACGTTCAGTCCATGGCAGACAGGAAACAGCCCTAAACTGCCCAGGTCACCGCCTGAGGGTTTCCAGGACAAGGGGCCAGGAAGGAGAACTCAGGAAGAGCTCAGATGAGAGGCCGGGGAGACCACGGCAGCTGGAGTGCACAGGACACTGGCAGGGAGAGAGCTGCCCAGAGCAAAGCCTGGAGACCTGCAGAAGGTCCGTCTTGAGCGTTTGGCAGGGAACCCGCTCAGCACGTGCCTGGGAGGAGACTAAGGCTGGCGAGCAACGACCCGAAGGATTGGAAGGAAGAGCAGCGGAGCTCACAGAGGCTGGGAAAAGCACTGCTCCCGCCAGCACCACCGAGAAACCTCGCCACTCAAAGTTCACGGTGCGGTGGGCAGAGTGCCCCTCAGGGTCTTGCCTCAATGGTGAGGCGTAGTTTGCCCTGGACTCAGCACTGCTCTGAGCCCACCTACGAGCCACACGAGGCCCAGGAGGCCCAAACTCTCTCCAATCCCTTAATTATGTCCCAGAACAAAGCCCCAGGACACAAAAGTATCCAGCAGCCCACGAGGTAAAATTCACGAAGTCCAACCTCCATTCAAAGAGTACCAGGCAGGTAAAGAAAGGGGATAATTCCACCCATAATCAGGAGAAAATTCAACTAATCCAAACCACAAAACCAACACAGATGTTGGAATTAGCCGACAAAGACATTAAAACAGGCGTTACGACAGTATTCCATGTCATCAAAATGCTATGCTGAAAATTGAACGTATTTAGTAAAAAACATGAAACATATAAAAAAGGATCCAAATTAAACATCTAAAGATGAAAATGACTATGTGTGAGATGAAACACACTGGACAGGATTAACAACGGATGCGACAATGCAGAAGAGGACAGCGGTGAACTTGAAGACATAATAGAGACACAGAAAGACAAAAGAATCCAAAAAATAAACAGCTCCTTAGCGAGCAGTAGGTGGCAAAGCTTCGCGCAGCCTGACACGTCTGTAAACGGAGCCCACGAAGGGAGAGGAGGACAGGAAAAATTGAAGAAATCATGGCCATAATTTGTTCAAATCTGAGGAAAACTTGGCTGGGTGCGGTGGCTCACGCCTGTAATCCCAGCAATTTGGGAGGCCAAAGCAGGTGGATCACCTGAAGTCAGGAGCTTGAAACCAGCCCAGCCAACATGGTGAAACCCCATCTCTACTAAAAATACAAAAATTAGCTGGGTGTGGTAGCAGGCGCCTGTAATCCCAGCTACTCGGGAGGCTGAGGCGGAAGGACTGCTTGAGCCCCAGAGTTTGAGGTTGCGGCGAGCCGAGATTGCGCCATTGCACTCCAGCCTGGGCAACAGAGCAAGACTCTGTTTCAAAAAAAAAAAAAAAAAATTAATGAAAACTAAAACCCAGAGATACAAGAAGCTCAGTGAGTACAAAGTACAAGAAACATGAAGGAAATGACACCAAATCCTAATCATACAGAATCAGTGTAAAAGAGAAAATCTTAAGTTGTGGGGTGGGGGCGTGTTACAAAGAGGAAACATATTAAAATAACAACAGATTTTTTTGGCGGGGGAACTTGTGCCAGTAAGAAAACTAGAGCAGCACCTTTACAGTACAAACGGAAGAAGAAGCTGTCATCCTAGAAAAACATCTTTCAAAAACAAAGGCAAAAGGAAGATATTTTCAGACAAATAACCATTGCAGTGTCCATTAAGAAATGTTAAAGAAAGCCCTTCAGGCGGGTGGAAAAGGAAATCAGATAGAAATGTGGCTCCACGGCCGGGCTCGGTGGCTCAGGCCTGTCATCCCAGCACTTTGGGAGGCAGAGGCAGGCAGATCACTTGAGGTCAGGAGTTCAAGACCAGCCTGACCAACATGGTAAAACCCCATCTCTACTAAAAACACAAAAATTAGCCAGGCGTTGTGGTGGGTGCCTGAGGTCACAGCTACTTGGGAGGCTGAGGCAGGAGAATCACTTGAACCCGGGAGGTGGAGGTTGCAGGGAGCCAAGATCACGCCACTGCACTCCAGCCTGGGTGACAGAGCGAGACTCCATCTCAAAAAAAAAAAGAAAAGAAAAAAGAAATATGGATCTACACGATGGAATAATGCATTTGAAATAGTAATTGTATGGGTAAATATAGAAGTTTTTTTACTATTTAAGCCTCTTTAAAAAATAATTAATTAAACAAAAATACCAACAATGCAGTGCGGTGTGAATCGTGTGTGGACACAAAATGGGTGACAAGAATTGCACAACCCAAGAGAAGGGAGCTGTGAGGCACCTTTTTTTTTTTTTTTTTTGAGATGGAGTCTTGTTCTGTCACCCAGGCTGGAATGCAGTGGCACGATCTTGTCTCACTGCAGCCTCTGTCTCCCGGGTTCAAGCAATTCTCCTGCCTGGGCCTCCCGAGTAGCTGGGATTACCGGTGCCCACCACCACACCCAGCTAATTTTTGTATTTTTAGTAGAGATGGGGTTTCACCACGTTGGCCAGGCTGGTCTCGAACTCCTGACCTCAGGTGATCCTCCCACCTTGGCCTCCCATAGTGTTGGAATTACAGGCGTAAGCCGCCGTGCCCAGCCTGGAAGGTTCTTCTTCTATATATGGAATGTGATAATATCTTTGGAAAGGAGACTACAGTAGGTTGTAGACATACTATAAACTCTAAGACAACTACTAAAATAATAAAAAGTTATGGCAGATAAGCAAACAAGGAGATAAAACTGAACTGTGGAAAAATAGTCAATCCAAAAGAAGGCAGAAAAGAAAGACAAAGAACAGATGGAAGGAACAGAAAACAAGTAGCAAGATGGTAGCTTTTCACCTGGCCACATCACTAATTACATTAAATGTAATAGTCTAAACACCCCCAATAAAAAGATGTGGATTGTCAGACTAGAATAAAAAGCAAGATCACTCTATAAGCTGCCCAGAGAATCTCACTGTAAGTAAAAGACACACATTAGTTATTGAAAGTAAAGGAAGAGGAAAAAACACACCGTGCTAACACAGAAAGAAAGATCAAGTGGCAATATTAATACAAAGGTAGACTTTAGAGCAAGGAACTGGCAATAAAGAAGATCCTTTCATAATGATAAAATCATGACCTTGGATTAGGCAAAGATTTCTTAGACACAACACTAAAAGCATGATGTGTAAAGTAAAAATTAATACATTGGGCTTTGCCAAAATTAAGAACTTCGGCCAGTCTAGGTGGCGCACGCCTGTAATCCCAGCAATTTGGGAGGCCGAGGTGGGTGGATCACCTGAGGTCAGGAGCTTGAAACCAGCCTGACCATCATGGTGAAACCCCATCTCTACCAAAAATACAAAAACTAGCCGGGCGGGGTGGCACTCACCTGTAGTCCCAACTACTCCGGAGGCTGAGGCAGGAGAATTGCCAGAACTGGAAAGGCAGAGGTTGCAGTGAGCCGAGATTGCACCATTGCACTCCAGCCTGGGCGGCAGAGCACGAGACTCCATCGAGAGAGAGAGAGAGAGAGGGAAGGAAGGGAGGGAGGGAGGGAGGGAAAGAAGGAAGGAAGGAAGGAAGGAAGGAAGGAAGGAAGGAAGGAAGGAAGGAAGGAAGGAAGGAAGGAACAGAGAAGAAAGCAAGAAAGGAGGGAGGGAGGGAAAGAATGAACTTCCGCTCTTTTGAACAGAAGTTTTGACACTTAATAGTATCTTCTGACACTATTAAGAGAATAAAAAGACAAGCCCTGACTGGGAGAAAAATCTTTGCCAAGTATGTATTTTTAGTGAAGGACTCGAATGCAGAATATATAAAGAACTCTCAAAACTGAAGCAACCCAATTTTAAAATGGATGGACAAAACGTTAGAACAGACACTTCATCAAAGAAGATACACAGAGGGCAAATAAACGCATGGAAAGATGCTCAACGCCATTAGTCGTTAGGAAAATTCAAATGAAAACCACAGTCAGATAGCACTGCACACCTGTTAGAATGGCTAAAATTTTAAAAACGGACGACGTCAAGCATACAGGAGGGTGAGGAGGGGCTGGAACTCACATCACGGGTGGGAGGCACAATGGCACAGCCATGCCGGAAAACAGTTTGGCCGTTTCTGAAAAATTCAGACGCCAACCACGTGATCCAGCCAGTCCACGCCGGGAGAAGTGGCAGCACATGCTCCTCTGAGACACGGACACACGTGTTCTAACTGCTTTGTTTGTAATTGCTGAAGCTGGAAGAGCAGGTGAACAGGCTGCGCTCTGATGGACATCTGGGTCATTTCCAGTTTGGGGTTGTTACAAACACCTCCTGGGAGCATGTGTGCGCACGCATCCGCCTCGGGCACTGGCCATGCCCCCAAGAGTCGGTGGCATCAGGACTGGAGGCCACTGCCTAGTACAGCGAGGGTGCACCTTGGCCACCAGTCTTGAGCCAGGGTCCGTGGGTAAGCTGGGGGGTGCTCCTTGGCCACCCTGCTTGTGCTCCTATCTGGGGGAGGGTTGGGGTTTGGGGGACCCCCGGGGAGCTGCTGAGACAGGGGACAGTGGACATGGGCTGCTCCGATGACCGGTCTCAGCCCCGATCAGCCCTGATGCCAGCTGGGAGGGCCTGAGCCTCTGGCTTCCCGGGGCCCCGAGCCCGGCTGTAGGGCCACGTCTGTGCCACCTGGGCTTCTGCCAGGCCTACGTGTTCTGGGCCCCCCACACCTGACTCTGCAGGCCATATGCACGGGGCCTCCCACGGGCCACACAGCACTCACGGCCGCTGGGCAGCAGATCAGGCCCAAGGCTCCCTTGGGCCGGCACCTGGTGTGAGTGGCCGGGAAACCCACCTGTTCCCGTCAGGCCTCCACTGTGTTTCCCCTGAACAACACCCGAAGAACCAGCTGTGGTGAGCCTGGGCGCTCCTCGACTCTCTGCAGGCCATGCCAGCCATGCCAGCCATGCCAGCATCCCCCACAACCCTCTGGACCAGGACCTGCCCCGTCACCCCTTCTTGCCTGGGCCTCAGTGGCTGCCCCCACTGCACGTCCAACTGCCTGGAATGGGCCCTGGATGTGATTCCTGAGAGAGACTCAGGTCTGGCTGCAATACCTGGAGCTTTTCTGGGGAAAAAAACAAATTCTTCAAATTCTCTGCAGGACCTGTGGCCCCAACGCCATTGCTGGCAGAGGCACCTCTGCCGGGGCACCTGCCCAGACTCCACGCCAGCACACAGCACCACCGCCCCCCAGGCTGGCTCAGGGTCCCTTCCCCACCCCCAGCTCTGGTCCTCAGTTTACCCACCTCTCCCAGCTTACTCTAGGCCAGGTCACCTTCCAGCCTGGTCTCCGACACCTCCTGGTGACCTGGCCCCACCCCCCACCCAGTCCTGCTCTTCACCTGGAGCCCTGGAAGCCCTTCATCTCACCCTGGGCTGCCCAGGGCCCCCTTGCTGTGAGCTGCAGCTGCCCTCAGAGGCCATTTGACTTGTGCTTTTGGGGCCCTGCCGGGCTCCCCAAAGGGAGTCCTAAATGTCACCCCCATGAGAGGGATGAGGATTCCTGGGAGAGAGGTGGTCTCATGAGCCTCAGCTCCAGCTTGACCTCCACCCCCACTTGACCAGCAGCCTCCAGAGTCTGAGTCGGCAGCCCAGGGTCCCCCCACCCTCCTCAAAGCCCCCTCACCAGCCACCCTCGGAGAGCAAGCCCTTGCTAACTCCCCATCCAGCTGCGCTCACTGAGGGCAAAAGGCGGCCCAATAACCCCTGGCCCTGGGCAGTGTGGTGCCCCACGGCTGCCCGCCCGGAGCAGTCCAGGGGGCCTAGTTCCCAACAGCCTTATCTGTTTGCATTTCACTCCGCATCCGCTGGTTATCAGCTCCAGAGCCCGGGCGGGGCAGTCAGCCAGACACCCAGCCGTCCCGGCAGCCTCTCCCTGTGCTCAGATGAGGGCGCCTTGGGTTCAGGCCTGGAGTTGGCAACGCATGGACATCTCCCCCAGGACATCGGAGGTGAACCCCAGCCCTCAGGATCCTGGTCTTCCCCTCGGGGCTGGTGGGGCACAGCTACCCCCACTGTGAGGGCCTGGCAGGGCTGGCCTGCAAGGAAGGCTCTGTCCTGAGAGGGTCTGCCCAGGGCCCCATGCCAGGGGGCGAAACTCTCAGGGCAGGGAGCAGCTGGGGGCTCTGCACCCTCACCTGTGGCACACAGCCACCTCCCATGGGATGGGAAAAGGGGAGAAGGTATTTGGGGTGCCAGCTGGGGAGATGACTCAGCCACCTACCCTGGGGCTCAGAGGTACCAGAGTCAGGTGTGAGAGGAGTTCAGGCCAGGGGCCTCTCCTGGGTGCCTGCCCAAGGCTACCGGCCGGCAATGCTCACCCGGGGAGGTGGGGGTCCCGCCCCAGCTAAGCTCCCACCTGGAGGGAGGAGTGGCCTGGCCAGGACCCCTCCTGTGCTGCTGCCTCAATGGCCCCGGCAGCCCGTATCCTGCCCCCACCCCAGGCTGAAACGTGCCCGCTCCTGAGGGCCCCAGCCTACCCTGACCTGCTTCCTGCACGGGGCATAAGTAGACAAAAAGGACAAGGGCCCCTCTCTGGAGGAGGGCAGGTGGAGAGCTCCCCAGCCCTTTCTGGAACATGAGGCTACCAGCCTGGGCTGAGCCCAGCCTCAGGCAGTGGTTCCTGCTAGCTACTCCTCTACCCACCCCGGACAGGCGGGCCAGCCCACCATCCCAGCCACCTCCAGGCCCAGCAGCTACCAGGGCCCCTCCCGCAGCCAGACGAGACCTTCAGTCCACTCAAGGCCACACAGTGGGCTGTGGGCAGCGGACAGCACAGGGCTGGGGCTGGGCTGGGGGTGGGGGCTGTGCGCACCTGAGTGTCCGGCTCCCAAAGGGGGTCCCAGGGATACGGGGGAAGGGCAGTGCCCCCAAATCCCAGCCCAGGCACCAAGCAGTCAAGTCTGAAAGTGCAGACCAGTGGGTGCCCGGGGAGCCCTAGCCCTCTGAACATCACTGGACAGGGGCTGTGGGGTCTCATTGAGGGTGGGCTGGTGGTCGCCCGGGTGAGCTGCACTGCCCGGCCCTTGCAGCTGCCCTTCCGGGGTCACGCTGCCCCTCCCCAGGCCTTGGGGAGGGCCCTCACCTGTGGCATGCAGCTGGCTCTGTTTCTACCTCCGGCAGGGTGGACCCCAGCAGCTGGGGTCAGAGGGGTCTGCAGGGCTGGTGGAGAAGCAGGAGTTGTCCAGGGAGGGGGATAGAGGCCAGAGGTCAGGGAGTGTCAGAGCCAGGCAGGGCCTCCTCTGAGGTGCTAGGGAGAATGAGGGGGTACCACACACTCGGGGCTGCAGGGCGGGGGCCACGGCAGGCCAGATTCGATGGGGGTGGCTGCAGGCAAGAGCTGGACTAGGAACGTTTCAACATACTCAGGAGGCAAAACCGCAGGGTACTGGCAAGCTGGACAAGTCCATGGGGAGGTCACCAGTGACGCTCAGGGACGGGGGAGAGGGAGAGGACCCAGGGCCAGCCCCACCCAGCCACACAAGGGCCTTGGAGGGAGGGTGGGGCAGGTGACCTCCCCCAGGCCTGACGCCCCTTCCCTGCCATCCCCCTGCCCCTTGGGGGACCTTGCATCCAGCCACTCTGTCCCCAGGGTCTCCAGGTTCCCACCGCCTCCCCAAGCAATGGGCCCCAGGACCTGGCACAGGGTCAGTGCCTCCCAAGACATCGGGCATCCGGATCAACAGGAAGCCGTGACGCGCCCCCTCGGGCATGCACCTGGGCACTGGCTGGCCATATTGAGCTCTGCCGGCCAGCACTGGGCCCGCGCCTCGGATGGGGAATGGCAGCGATCCAAGCCCGGGTGCATTCCCACTCCCGGGGTTGAAATCTTTCCCAAACACTCCCCAAACCCACAGTTTTCAATCCTTTGATCTGATGGGGACCAGCTGCCAAGCCTCAGGGGGTGAAGCCCCACCTGTTCTCCTCCAGGGGACGTCACACCTGACCACAGGGCCCAGCGGGGCAGGGGCAGGGAAGGGGCTGGCCAAGGGGCAGGGAAGGGGCTGGCCGAGGGGCAGGGAAGGGGCTGGCCGAGGGGCAGGGGGCCACCAGCAGGTCCATCCCAGCGCCTCTGTGAACACAAGTCCCAGCAGACCCAGGGCCTCAGCCTCCTGTGAGGGGAGCCAGGCCCGAGTCAGTTCCAGAGCCTTCTGGAGACACCTGCAGGGGTGAAGGCCTCAAGTCCAAGTGAAGGTCTGCTCACACCTGTCCAGGGAGCCCTGCGGGTCTAGGAGCCAGCGCCCACCCTAACGGTTCAGCCGGGAAGCTGGGGCCCGGGGCCCACCCTGACTCCCGCTTCACAGCCACACCAGGCCTGGAGTGACCGCTGTTCAGGGCCAGGCCACTTAGACGGACATAGAGGGCGGGGCCAGCGCTGGGCATGAGAGGGGACAATCACCCACTTGTCCAGTCCTCAGGCCCTGTTCTCCAGCCAGGCCCACAGGACATGGCTCCTATCACCAGGTTGCTCCAGGAACAACACCTCACACGCTTATCTCCCCCACTGCTCAGTGCATTCAAGCGCTCCCCGGCCAGGACAGAAACACCGCTCCCAGCCATTTGCCACCAAGCGAGTGCATTGAGAGAGAGAGACCCCCAGGCTCCGGAGGCCCCATGGTGCCACGATGGAGCCCCCACCAGGGCTCGGGGCCAGGGCCTTCTACACACTCGAGTGGCCCTGAGATCATGGGGACAATAAATTCTGGGATGCACAGCTTTCACCAGAAATTCAACCTATACACACACATGCACACACACAGGCACACACAGGTACACGTGCACACACATGCACACACACGCAAACACACGCACTCACAGGCACACAGGCACAGGCACCCACATAGGCACACACAGGCACGTGCACACACACGCACACACATGCACACACGTGCACACACAGGCACACATGCACACACACAGGCAGGCACTCACGTGCACACAGGCACACACATACACACGCACACACAGGTACACGTGCACGCACACATATGCATATGCGCACACACACATACACAATCACCACACACCTGCAAGCGGGCATCTTCACCACAGGCCCAGTGGGCAGCCCCATTGCAGGCTGGTGGTATCCAGCCCCCACCCGCCCCACACCTGTGCAAGTTGCAGGGATCCCCCAATTCTAGAGGACGCTGGGGACTCACATGCTGAACGCCACAGCCATAACCTTCAAGGTCAGGGGTCTCTGCCACTTTACAGCTGGGAAATGGAAGCCTCAGTGGCCAGGACCCGAAGCCCTACAGGCCTGGCCGGGGAACCAGTGTCCACTGGCTCTCACCCCCAACCCACCCCTGCCCCTACATTCAAAGCTTCATAGGATCCCTCCTGAGAACCTGAGCTCGGTTCTCACAAGCCCAGACAGGTGGTCAGACAAGCACAACCGCCGGGCTGACATGGCCACAGGGCTCCCAGCCATGACACCTGCCCATGAGGTCCCTTTTGGCACCAGCTGCCCTGGTGCAGTGACCCACCCAGGGAAGGAGGCCCTAAGATCTCTGCCCCTCATCGTCCCCACCTCGAGCCCGGGCTGAGAGGCCCCAGCTCAGAACGAGGGCCAGCTGTGAGCCCTGCGTCCATCCAACCTCTCAGCATGACAGGGCAAGGGCCTCACTCCTGTGCCTCAGCTTCTCACCTGAACCACAGGGACCACTGAGCGTGTTAAGAAGGGACAGCCAAGGCTGGACACGGTGGCTCACGCCTGTCATCTCAGCACTCTGGGAGGCTGAGGCAGGAGGATCTCTTGAGTCCGGGAGTTCAAGGCCAGCCTGGACAACAAAGTGAGACCTCGTCCCTACAAAACCGAAAAATTAAAAAGAAGAACAGATGAGAGTAGAACACCCAGAATGCCTGGTGTGGGGCTCCTGGTGGGGGGCAGCACACGTACTGCAATTTCCTACAAAAGCAACTTATTGTAACTTCAAGCAACGTTCCACAAAACTGAAGCTGATTTAAGTGAAACACGCGACACCTACTGTGTATGGCACGCGTGGCCCTGGGGCCTCTTCCGGGGGCAGGTGGGGCAGCTCCCGGGCGTGTGGGCACAGGTGGGACAGAGGTGGCAGGCCCGGGTCCCAGCCAGCAGGCTCAGCTCACCTGTGGGATGGGGGTGCAGCCCCATGTGGGGAGCCCGGCCCAGGGAGACCAGGCGGCCTCGGAGTCCCTCCTGGCTCAGGCCGGGATGCTGACGTGTGGTGGGAGCAGCCCCGAGGCCAGCGAGGGCTCCTGTCGGAGTCGGGGACCAAAATCCCCTTTGGGAGGGGTCCCTGGGCTGCCAAACGAAGCTGGGGCAATCCTGGTGACCACTCAGACCTCCACCTCCCTCCCCCCCGCCAGCCACCGGCACCACCCCGATGTCACCAGACCTTGCCCTGTCCCCGGCCCCTCAGACGTGGCACGTGCCTCCACAGGCAAGGCCCCCTGGTCATCCCAGTCCCTGCCCCTCTGCCTGAAGGGGTCAGGAGCATACCGGCGACCCCACAGCCCCGCAGAGATGCCCCAGCAGACGAGCAGCCCCCGAGTTCCTGTCCTCAAGATGGCTGCCAACAGCGCTCGAAGGGGGAAGAAAACAGCTGTGGAGGGGTCTTCAGGAGCAAGCCTGGGACCTGGCGGGCTGCAGAGACACGGTAGCTCCTCAGGCCTCCAGGGCAGCCTGTCTAAGCCCCAAGGCCGCTGCCTGTCCCAGACGGCGGAGCCCCTGCTCCCCAACACCCCCTGGCAAGGTCCCTCCCGCTGGGTGATCTTTCCTGTTGGGCAGGGAACTCAGGGGTGGGCCCAGGGCCCTTCAGGGGGTGCTGGGATTCAGGGTGAGGGGTGGGCCCAGTGCCCCTCAGGGGGTCCTGGGATTCAGGTGCAGCAGGGTTCCCCCCAAGCTGGGTCAGCACTGGGCTCCCCGGAAGGGGCAGAGCAGGTGCCCCAGGGCCCCCGACCTCCCCCAACAGGTCCATCCCGGCCACCAGGCGTGTGGCTGACAGTGCCACGTTGACCCAGCAGCGGGGAGGGCCCGGGCCAGGATGGCCCCCATGCAGGGGGTGTTTGCAGGACCTTTGGGGGCGTGCGTGCGTCAGCCCCCCGCTGGGAATGGGTGATAATGGGGCCGCTGCCTGCAGGATTTTCCAAAGAAAGCCGAGTCCTGATAAAGCAGGCCCAGATCCTGTTTGGCCACCGCGGCGCCCGCCGGCAGTGGTGATTAAGGGGCTGGACCGCGGGGCGCAGGCAGGTGCGGCGGGGGAGGGCCCGCCAGCCTATATAAGGCACCCAGGACCGGCCGTTGGAGCCGCATGGATGGCAGCAGCAGGCCTGCCGGGCCCAGCGCGAGCTCCTCTCCACTGTGCACCATGGTCCAGCGGTGGCTGCTGCTGTCCTGCTGCGGAGCCCTGCTCAGCGCTGGTGAGTGAGGTCGAGGGGCGCCAGACACTGCGGTGCCCTCAGAGGGGCCCTGTGTGCGGGGGTCTCTGGGCCTTCTCGCCTCGACAACTCGGCTGGCCCACATGGACGCTGATGGACGGGAGGCCCCAGCTCGGCTCCGTGACCAGCCCCCGCTGCCAGGCCCGGGTCCCCCCAGCAGCCGCGGTGCTGGGCTCTGCCAATTGGGGTCAGGGACCCCATGGGGCCTGGGCAGGGACGCCCTCCTGTGAGCTGGCACAGCAGCCAGCGGGGGAGGACGCTCAGCTGGAGTGGGGTCCGGCACTCCCGCGGGAACAGTGGGCAGGTGTGCTGGTGCCCAGCCCTGGCGCTCTCCCTCCCCGAGTGGGGTCCTGAGTCCTGAGAGGTCTCTGGAGTGTGGGGGACAGAGGCACAGTCTCTGCTGGGCCCTGGGCCTCGTTTCCTAGTCTACAGAAGTGGGGGACGCTGCCTCCCCTGGTGTGGCCGCCGTGGGGGGAAGAGGGGGGAAGGTGTACGGCCATCCTGGGCTCAGAACCGCCGCAGGCAGCCTGCCCTCTCCCCCGCGCTCCCCTACCCAGCTCGGGCAGGATCCAGGAGGGACTGACATCCTGGATCCTCTGCCAACCGCCTGCCCTGCGGCTGCTGCAGGTGACCATCAGTCCCTCCCCAGGCCCCCAGAAGGAGCCAGCCCCAAGGGGTCCCTCTGTGGCCGCAGCCTGAGACCTGGGGAGACCCCTCTTGCCGACCAAGGCACCAGCCCAAGGGCCTCTGTGTTCCGTGCTCCTCCTTCCTCTCCAAGCTGGCCCGACCCTCCTCCACAGCCGGGAGCCCCCTGGGGTGGACGCTGGCGTGACAGAGCTCGCCCTCGGAGCTGCTGCCAACCTGGGCGCCTCGGGCTCAGAGCACAGTGGGACCCCCCCAGGGGTGTCCCACTGTAGGGCGACCCAAGCCCACCCCACCCCTTCTCTCCTTTGAAGCCCCTTCCCCACCACGCCGGGCACCACCCTTCAACCGTGGGAGATGTGGGGGTCTCTGAGCTCGCTCCCCACCACGCCGGGCACCACCCTTCAACTGTAGGAGATATGGGGGTCTCTGAGCCCGCTCCCTACCACGCCGGGCACCACCCTTCAACCGTGGGAGATGTGGGGGTCTCTGAGCCCTCCCAGCGGTGCCCTCTGCTTGGGACCCCAGCCCCTACCTGCACACCTGGCACAGCTTGGGGACAAGTGCCAGGAAGTGGGGCTAAACTTGCAGCAGAGTGCGACCCCTAGTCCCTCGGGCCACCACCCTGGAGCCAGGGAGGGAGGTGTGGTGAGGCCCAGAGAGGCTGGAGGTCTGGGCTGTGGGCAGTGCAGAGGGTGGAGGGCCAAGTGGGGGTGTCCACCCGTCACCCCAGCAAATAATCTCTGAGCGCCATCTCTGCCAACATGGGAGGGGCCTCAGCCAGCAGAGTGTGGGGTCGGACAGACGGGCTGCAGGCCTGGGCCGCGGTGGGCCGGGAGGCAGGGGTGGGCGGCCGCCAAGCGTGCAGAAGGAACAGTGCGCACCTGCCGCCTCGTGCTCGTCCAGGGGCTGAGAGGCCGGGGGTGGCGGACCAACCCGCCCAGATGCCCATGCGCCTGGCCAAGGGATCAGCCGAGGGGAAGCACAGCCAGTCTGGGCAGGAACGCAGGAGTCTCCCGCTGGACTTCAGAGCTGGAGGCAGCCGACTTGGAGCCAGTGGACTCGGGGAACCTCCTGCGGGTGGGGCAGGGCGAGGGCGGCGGGGGGCGCAGGGGGTGCAGCAATGAGGCACCCACCCGGGGCAGTGAAGCCAGCCTGGCAGGGCTGAGGGCACCGAAACACAGGCCCGAGGTGTCTGTGCTACAGCGGGGACGGCCCCCAAGTGCCACCCCCCATCGGAAAGGTGGAGAAACTGAGTTGCAGGGGGCATTGCCCAGGGGAGACCGGTCACAGCTCTGCAGCCTCCAGAGGTGCTGGCCCAGGGGCAGGCAGCCAACTGCTCCTCCCGCTCAGAGCTCTCCCACCCCTCCCCCACCAGAGGCCAGCGAGGGCCCCATCCCAGGAACCACTGAGTTCCATGGCTGAGGGTTCGGTGTGCTGCGCACTCCTGCAGCAGGTGCTCTGAGCCCTGTGGATCATCCCTGGAAGGAATGGCGGGGGGCTGAGGACCATGACACCTACTGGGACCCCCAGGAGGGGGATGAGTGAGGGGGTAGGTGCTCGCCAGGCTCAGGGCCCAGCATGAGCCACCCCCACACCAGTCTGGAGTAAACTCAGCTTACACTGGGGATAAGCCAGGTGCAACCCATCAGAAAACGATCTCAAGGCCAAAGGGGACCACAGCCAAATATGTGTCCCACATAGCCAAGGTTGGCATTCTTCTTAAATCCAGTCACTCAAATACCCAACCTCCTGCCTGTGCCAGACAGGACTCACCCAGGCGGCCAAGGGGCAGGCAGCCTGGCTCCTCCCTGGACCGCGGTTAACACCATCTCCCAGCTGACAGGCCCCTGCCCCTGCGTCACCGGAGACACAGGTGTCCAGCGGTAATGGGGGCAGCATCAAGTAAGTCCCAGAAAGTGGGCAGAGCCTGGGGTGAGAGCACAGGTGAGGAGTGGCAGGAATGGGATCTCTGAGCTACATCTGGAAGGAGGTGCTGTGAGTGCCCTGCTAACCAATGGGCAGGGGCAAGGAGGGTCCCGGCCCCAAGAAGGGCCTGGAGAGGTCACGGGTCCTGCTCAGGTGCCGCACCACCACTCAGACATCGGGGGCTCGTGGGAGCCACAGGAAGGGTCATAGTCTCGGAGGCAGGGTCCGGGGAGTTACCCAGAGGTGGGAAAAGTCTCCCTCTGGGTACAGGGGGTGGGACGTGGGGGGTGTTGGCCCCACCCCAGCCTCTGGGAGTCAGGGTGGGACGTCCCCCGCTGCCCTGCCCTGGAGTCACCGTGACTGGGCTATCTGGATGTTTCTCTGACAACAGTGGCCTCAGTGCCAGGCCTGACATCAAGGCTGTCTCAAGGCTGACGTGCAGGAAAGCGGCCATGTTTAGAGCCCCGGAGCCACCGAGAGCAGGGAGAACCGGCTGTGGGGCCTTGGCGCAGACCCCTCAGGGAAACCAGGCGGCCAAGCTGGGGAGGCGGGCACAGCCCACTTTGTTGGCTCCGCCGCCAAGCCCCTGCCACCCGCACCAGCCCCTCCTAGCCCCACCCAGAAGCCCCAGGGATGAGTACCCTGCACACAGGGTGCCCGCCATCTGCCGAACCCCGAGGGGCTGACGGCTGAACTGGGACTGAGTGGACAAACGAGGGAGTGAACGAGAGCAGGGAAGGAAGCTGGGGCTCGTGAAGGACAGCATGGGAGGCCAAGCGCTTGGCTTGCTGTTGAGGCCTCGAGCCCCACGGGCCATGGACACTTCTCGCACGCCGAGTGTGTGCAGGGAAACGGGCGGAGCAGCCCTGAGCAGAGGTGAGCGGCGCCCTCAGGGACGACGGGGTAGCCCCACACCGACTGCGGGTCCCGTCCACACAGGTCTGGCTAACACCTCCTACACCAGCCCAGGCCTCCAGAGGCTGAAGGACTCTCCACAGACAGGTAAGAACACAGCGGCCACTGATCCTGCCGCCCAGACCACCCAGGCCCGGTGTGCAGGAGAGAGGGGCCCGGAGCCCAGGTCACCCCCAAGACACACACATCCAACACACATATATGCACCAACATGAACACACATGCACATACACCCAACACACACACATACCCAATATACACATGCACACACACCTGACACACGCATACACATGTACATGACACATGCATGAGCACACGTCACACACACACCCAACACTCTACACAGACACACAACCCAACACACATGCACACACACCCAACACACACAACCTACACACAAACACACCTGACAAACACATGCACACACACCCAACACCCATGCACACACATCCCAGACATGCAAACATGCACACTTACAACACGCACGACTTACACATGTGCACGCACCCAACACACACACACCCTACACACACATGCACCCTATGTACACACCCTACACACCTGAGACACGCACCCAACACACACATACACACCCCGAATGCACACACATGCACTCGACACACATGCCCAGCTCACACAAACACACATGTGCATGCAACACAATCACACACACCCAACACACATGCAGGTGTATATCTCACACGCCTACACAGCCCTCCAACACACACACACCCACAATGCACACATGGACACACCTGACACGTATGCACACACCCGAGACACGCACATACGTGCACACACGTGCACACACACAACACACATACGTGTACCCACACACACGTGTGTGCACATGCCCACAGCGGTGCTGACTCCTGGCCAGGCATATACCATAGCACTCAGGTTCATCGGATGTCTGGGGTTTCCACAGCCTGGCCCCAACTCAAAAACCCTGGCCCAGGGAGACGAGTGACCTCTCTGCCTGCCCCAGCCCTGCCTGGCCAGGATGGTGGGGACACAGGGCTGTGTGAGCACTGCTCTCTCTGTAGCCCCGGACAAAGGCCAGTGCTCCACGTGGGGGGCTGGTCACTTCTCCACCTTCGACCACCACGTGTACGACTTCTCGGGGACGTGCAACTACATCTTCGCGGCCACCTGCAAGGACGCCTTCCCCACCTTCAGTGTCCAGCTGCGGCGAGGCCCAGACGGGAGCATCTCGCGGATCATCGTGGAGCTGGGGGCCTCCGTCGTCACTGTGAGCGAAGCCATCATCTCAGTCAAGGACATCGGGTAGGTCAGGTGGGCCGGGGCCCGGGGGCTCGGGGGCCGGAGGACTGAGGATCGACCACCGACTTCCCTTGCCCCACAGGGTCATCAGCCTGCCCTATACCAGCAATGGACTCCAGATCACACCCTTCGGCCAGAGCGTGCGGCTGGTGGCCAAGCAGCTGGAGCTGGAGCTGGAAGTCGTGTGGGGTCCTGACAGCCACCTCATGGTGAGGAGAGAAGGGCCAGGGTGGGCCTGGAGACCCGCAGCACGGGGGGGCAGGTGGGACTTGGGAGGGGCTGCCCTCCTTGGGGGTCCCAGCCAGCCCTCAGGCTGCCATGCAGCCAGGCCCTTCGTGCCAAGCAGTGCTGACCCCTGACCAGCAACATGAGCCAGGACTGGGTTTTGTGGGTGACTCGGCTTCTCCACTGGAAAATTAGCCTCCCATAAGAAGAGGCAGATGAGCAGGTGGGGGGATGGTGGGGGCTCTGGGTCCAGGAGCAGGAACTGAGAGCCCTCCACAGCAGATGAGGGGGCCCCTGGCCCCCGGGCCCCCAGCAGAGCCGTCTCCCGCAGGTTCTGGTGGAGCGGAAGTACATGGGTCAGATGTGCGGGCTCTGCGGGAACTTTGACGGGAAGGTGACCAACGAGTTTGTCAGTGAGGAGGGTAGGTGGGGGCAGGGCTGGGGGGCCTCTGGGGGGCCTCTAGGTGGGGGGCAGGGCAGGGGGGCCTCTGAGGCCCAGCCCCCACGGTGCTGACCCCCATTCTGCACCCCAGGCAAGTTCCTGGAACCCCACAAGTTTGCTGCCCTCCAGAAGCTGGACGACCCCGGCGAGATCTGCACCTTCCAGGACATCCCCAGCACCCACGTCCGGCAGGCCCAGCACGTAAGCAAGGGGGCTCCAGGTGGGGCTGACCCCAGGTCTGACAGGGTCGCCGAGACCACCAAGGGCCCCCACAAGCAGCCGCATCACAGACGCCCTGCCCGACCTCCCCAGTCGTGGTGGCATGGGGTGTGGCCTTTGCCCCCATGACCCTGAGTGGCCCCCCCAGGCCCGGATCTGCACCCAGCTGCTGACCCTGGTGGCCCCTGAGTGCAGCGTGTCCAAGGAGCCCTTCGTGCTAAGCTGCCAGGCGGACGTGGCCGCAGCCCCCCAGCCAGGCCCACAGAACAGCAGTTGTGCCACCCTGTCGGAGTACTCCCGCCAGTGCAGCATGGTGGGCCAGCCGGTCCGCCGCTGGCGGAGCCCCGGCCTGTGCTGTGAGTCCAGGGAAGGGAGAGGGAGGGGCAGGAAGGCCGAGGGCTCCAGACCCAGCTCTCCCAGCCCCTGGACTGCCTGACGTGACGCCTGCATCCCTCCTGGTCTGAGAGACAGGAGATCCTCGCTGCTGCTTCTAGATGGAGGAAGGGCTGGGCTAAGTCCTCCATCAAGCTGGGGTGGGGCAGGGAGGGGTGGGGGGGGTGGGACCCTCTCACCGGAGCCGCGTGTGCCCACAGCCGTGGGTCAGTGCCCGGCCAACCAGGTGTACCAGGAGTGCGGCTCGGCCTGCGTGAAGACCTGCTCCAACCCGCAGCACAGCTGCTCCAGCTCCTGCACCTTCGGGTGCTTCTGCCCGGAAGGTGAGGGCAGTCGCAGGCACTCTCTCTCCCCGGGACCCCTAGAGAGAACCCAGAGACAAGGGGACGTCAGACCCCACCCACCCCGACCCAGGTCACCCCAACATTCTGCTGCCTGAGTCCCAGCTCTGGCGCCTCTTGCCCTGGGACAGGCTTTTCCCGCCTGGACGCTTACAGCCTGCAGGTCCCCCAGCCACGGCCACCCCTGCAAACCCACGGGCGGTGAGGGCTGCTCACTGCGGTCTAGGAGCTGCCGAGGGAAGGCAGGGTTTGAGCCGGGCCCAAGGGACAGTTACACGTCCCTGCCTGCTGGAGGCCACCACTCACCAGGAACCTGGGCCGGGCACATTGGCACGAGGGGCTGTGCACGCCCAGGGCCTGACATAGAGTTGCGAATGCAAGTGCAGCTGGAGAGAGGTCATGGCCCAGGCTAGAGGGGGCGTCTCCCTGGAGCCAGGCTGGAGGGGCGTCTCCCTGGAGCCAGGCTGGAGGGGGCGTCTCCCTGGAGCCAGGCTGGAGGGGGCGTCTCCCTGGAGCCAGGGAGGGGAGAGTGGGAGGCAGTCAGTCCCACCCAAGCCCCAAGAAGACCCTCTCCTGCAGGTACGGTCCTGAATGACCTCTCCAATAACCACACCTGCGTGCCCGTCACCCAGTGCCCCTGTGTGCTCCACGGCGCCATGTATGCCCCCGGGGAGGTCACAATAGCTGCCTGCCAAACCTGGTGAGTGAGGCGCCGGAGGGGGCTCTGGCCGGCCGGCAGGGGTTCCACTGGCCTAGGGCAGGCAGGGGTGTGCTGTCTGGCTCCAGCGGCCCTGCCCACCATGCCGCTACCCCCACGCCCACCCACAGCCGGTGCACCCTGGGCCGCTGGGTGTGCACGGAGCGGCCGTGCCCCGGACACTGCTCCCTGGAAGGTGGCTCCTTTGTTACCACATTTGACGCCAGGCCCTACCGCTTCCACGGCACCTGCACCTACATCCTCCTCCAGGTAGGACGAGCCCTGTGGCCCGTGGGGAGGGGCGCTCCCGGTGACCCCACCCGTGTCTGAGCCCCGCCCCCTCGCAGAGCCCCCAGCTTCCCGAGGACGGTGCCCTCATGGCTGTGTACGACAAGTCCGGCGTCTCACACTCCGAGACCTCCCTGGTGGCTGTGGTCTACCTCTCCAGGCAGGTAAGGCCTTTCCTGCGCCCATCCCTGCCAGCAGGGCTCCGCTCCCTGGTGCCTGCACCCTGACTCAGGCCACCCTCTCTCCAGGACAAAATTGTGATCTCTCAGGACGAGGTGGTCACCAACAACGGAGAAGCCAAGTGGCTGCCATACAAGACTCGTACGTCCTGGCCCAGTCTGTGGCCCCCCAGAGTTGTGCCTTCGGGGCGGGCTGCAGTGGGTGGGGAGGGAGCCCAGACGGCCCACTGAGCACTGCGTCCTGCAGGCAACATCACGGTCTTCAGGCAGACGTCCACCCACCTCCAGATGGCCACCAGCTTCGGGCTGGAGCTCGTGGTCCAGCTGCGCCCCATCTTCCAGGCCTATGTCACTGTTGGGCCCCAGTTCAGAGGTCAGACCAGAGGTGAGTCCCTGCCTCTCCAGGTGGCCCTGTTGCCTCATCCCTACAGGGTCTGGCCATGACCAGGGGAGGAGAAAGGTCCAAGAGAGGTTCACACAACCCTCTGTGTCCGGGGAGCCCCCAGGGGTAACAGGCACGTGTGGCCCACGCAGCCTCTCACCCAGGGTGCTGTTAGAGGAAGGACGGGAGCTCCAGGGCGTGTGGGCAGGAATGGGTGCAGGAGGGATGGGTTCAAGTCGAGCTCACGCCCCGCCGGCTCAGGGCTCTGCGGCAACTTCAACGGGGACACAACGGATGACTTCACCACTAGCATGGGTATCGCCGAGGGCACCGCCTCGCTGTTTGTGGACTCCTGGCGGGCGGGGAACTGTCCGGCCGCTCTGGAGCGTGAGACTGACCCCTGCTCCATGAGCCAGCTCAACAGTGAGTGTCCGGCCCCCCACTCCCCTGGCTGCCCCCCCAGCGCCCACAGTTCTGACAGACCCCTGGACTGGACCACAGGCCCAGCTGCCAGGGTGGGGGGTCCCTGGGAGGAGCCGTAGCTGGAATGGGAGGGGCCGGGACTCACGCCCGGGCCTGTCATCCCCAGAGGTGTGTGCAGAGACCCACTGCTCCATGCTGCTGAGGACAGGCACGGTGTTCGAGAGGTGCCACGCCACAGTGAACCCTGCACCCTTCTACAAGGTGAGGGCCCGAGGGCGTCTTGGGAGGGCTGCAGGGGAGGCTGTGGTGGCTGACAAGGTCTCAGGCACCCAAGGGCATAGGTTTGGGACCCCCATGTCCCCAGGGCAGGGTGCCTGCCACCAGCCCATGCTGGCTCTCTGCCCGCAGAGGTGCGTGTACCAGGCCTGCAACTACGAGGAGACCTTTCCCCACATCTGTGCCGCCCTGGGCGACTACGTACACGCCTGCTCCTTGCGGGGCGTCCTGCTCTGGGGCTGGAGAAGCAGTGTGGACAACTGCAGTGAGTGCCCGACGGGGCTTAAGCGGGGTCACGGCAGGCTGGGCTCACGAGGGGGTGTCCTGGGACCCCAAGCTCTGAGGCTCTGCAGTGCCCGGCAGGCAGGGGAACCCGAGATTGCCCTCCCGGCCGCCCCCTCCCGGAGAGTCTGATGCCCGGGTCCCCCACAGCCATCCCCTGCACGGGTAACACCACCTTCAGCTACAACAGCCAAGCCTGTGAGCGCACCTGCCTGTCGCTGTCGGACCGTGCCACCGAGTGCCACCACAGCGCCGTGCCCGTGGACGGTTGCAACTGCCCCGATGGCACCTACCTGAACCAAAAGGGCGAGTGTGTGCGCAAGGCCCAGTGCCCGTGCATACTGGAGGGTTACAAGTTCATCCTGGCCGAGCAGTCCACTGTCATCAACGGCATCACCTGGTGAGGGACCGGGCAGGGGCCAGGCGGGGGGTCCCTGCCAGGTCCCGGGGTCTCACGCAGCCTCTCTCTTGCAGCCACTGCATCAACGGGCGGCTGAGTTGCCCGCAGCGGCCACAGATGTTCCTGGGTACGTACAGCAGCGCTGGCCGCAGGCTGGGACTGTGAGGGGCCCCGGCTTCCTCTGAGTGTCCTGACCGCGCACCCCTCTTTCCTGCAGCCTCCTGCCAGGCCCCTAAGACCTTCAAGTCCTGCAGCCAGTCCTCCGAGAACAAGTTTGGGGCAGCCTGTGCCCCCACATGCCAGATGCTGGCCACCGGTGTTGCCTGCGTAAGGGGGCGCGCGAGGAGCAGGGACAATGCCCGGGCCCCAGCTGAACCATGAGGGGGTTTCCACAGAACTCCGGGAGACCTGGCCGCATTCTGCCCTGCAGCGGGTGCCTGGGGCTGGCCACGAGGTGGAAGCGGCCCTGTGGCCAGGCAGCTGGAGGCCCCGGGGGCTCGTCTGCAGGGCTCCCTAAGGACAGTGGGCACCAGCTCGGGGAGGGTGGGCTGCCCATGTGTGGGAGTGGGTACAGCAGCCCAGCCGTGTGCACTGGGTCCCAGGACCTTCCACGAGGTGGGGGAAGCTTTGCTAAGGCAGTAAGCCCAGCTGCCCACAAAGGCCACAGAGCAGGGCTGTATTCAGGGAGAGGACCTGGGAGACACGCCGGGCAGTCTCAGAGGGGCCCAGGGCTGGGCAGCAGCTGGCTGAGGCCACCCTCCCAGGAGCTGCTGACCTGCCTCCCTCCAGGTGCCCACCAAGTGTGAGCCTGGCTGTGTCTGCGCCGAGGGCCTCTACGAGAATGCCGACGGGCAGTGTGTGCCCCCCGAGGAGTGCCCATGTGAGTTCTCGGGGGTCTCCTACCCTGGAGGAGCTGAGCTCCACACTGACTGCAGGACCTGGTGAGACAAAGCCTCGCTTCAGACGCCCTGGGCTCCTGGGGCCATCTGGGGCAGGCGGAGGCTGCCCGGGGTGGGGCTGTCCCAGAGGCGGGGGCGTCCAGAGGTGCAGTCTGGCCTCTCCAGGGACCACACCCAGTATGGCAGGAGGGCCGCAGGCCCACCACCCACACCTGCTGTCTCCACAGCTCCTGCTCAAGGGGGAGGTGGGCCTGTCAGCAGGGCACCCACTGCCCATCCACCTGCACCCTCTACGGGGAGGGCCACGTCATCACCTTCGACGGCCAGCGCTTCGTATTCGACGGCAACTGCGAGTACATCCTGGCCACGGTAACCATCGGGTGCCAGGCCGCAGGGGCCGGGGACCCAGAGGCACGGCCTCCAGGGCTCCTCCTCAGCGCCCTCTCCCTGCAGGACGTCTGTGGTGTCAACGACTCACAGCCCACCTTCAAGATCCTGACAGAGAACGTCATCTGTGGGAACTCCGGGGTCACATGCTCACGGGCCATCAAGATCTTCCTGGGGGTGAGCAGCCGGGCAGACTCTGGCAGGGCAGGACGGGCGGTAGGGGGCCCTGCCACACAGCTGGATCCCGCGCACTGGAGCCTCCAGGTCCTGCCCCGAGATGCAGCCCTCCCCGCCTGCCTCTCCTTGAGGGGTGCCTGCTGCCCCTCCCTGGCCAGACGCTCAGGACCACGGGTGCTTGTGCCCCACAAGGTTTCAGGGACTGCAGAATGTCTCCCGGGCAGAGGGGAGGGACTCTCCAGGAAGCCCGAGCTTCAGCCCTCAGCCCTGTTCCAGGCATGCCAGGCCCTTCTGCCCCAAGCTGGCTCTCAGCAGGCGCTCCTGTGCATGGCCTTAACAGACCTGGGCAGCTCTGTCTCTGAGAGCTCGGTCCAGCACGGCTGTGCCAGGGGCCGGGGGAGACAGACAGGCAGTCCTATGCCAACCCCACCCCACAGGGCCTGTCCGTGGTGCTGGCGGACAGAAACTACACGGTCACCGGGGAGGAGCCCCACGTGCAGCTCGGGGTGACGCCGGGTGCGCTGAGCCTTGTCGTGGACATCAGCATCCCCGGGAGGTACAACCTGACGCTCATCTGGAACAGGCACATGACCATCCTCATCAGGATCGCCCGTGCCTCCCAGGTACCGCACGCCCTCTGCCTCCTCCCAGGCCCTCCCTGATGCAGGGGTGGAGACAGATGGCACGGCCCCTGGGCCCGGCCTGATGCCACCGTCTGCAGGATCCCCTCTGCGGCTTGTGTGGCAACTTCAACGGGAACATGAAGGACGACTTCGAGACGCGCAGCAGGTACGTGGCATCCAGCGAGCTGGAGTTGGTGAACTCGTGGAAGGAGAGCCCGCTGTGCGGGGACGTGAGCTTCGTGACAGACCCCTGCAGTCTCAATGCCTTCCGGCGCTCCTGGGCCGAGCGCAAGTGCAGCGTCATCAACAGCCAGACCTTTGCCACCTGCCACAGCAAGGTGGGCACCGGGCACGAGGGCTGTGCGCCTGCCCCTCCACAAATGTCCGGTGGGGGCGGGGGAAGGGGCGGGGAAGCCAGGCACGGTTCTCCCTCCGTGGGATCCCAGACCAGCCAGGTCAGGGTGCAGAGAGTTTCAGACCCTCTGCCTGAGTGCAGGGCCCTGATGTGGGGCCGACTCGTGCACTGTGGCTGTTAAGCAGCCCCCCGGCCTCCACCCACCAGATGCCAATAGCACCCCCAGACAGTGCCACGAGTCCCCTGGGGCAGCATCGCCTGGTGGGCCCCCTGCTCAGGAGCTGGTGGTCAGGGAGACCTCCAGGATGCAGGGCGTGCACTTCCCAGCCCAGGGCGTGATCCGGCCATCGCGGCGCAGTAAGAACTGAGAGGATGGGGGCACCCCGCGGGGGAACAGCATGGCACTGGCCCGCTGAATGTGAGCGTGACGTGGGGGGAGCAGAGACCCTGGGTGGGACTGCAGTGGCCGTGGTTAGCGGCAGCGGCATCTTGGTCCCGATGGCGGGTCTCAAGGCGTGAGCTCGGGTCAGGCCTCCGTGGCAGCATCGGCTCCGGGAGCGTGGCTAGCGGTCAGGGCTGAGGTCCACGTGGTGCCGCTCACCCAGTCCCAGCGCCCTTACCGCCACACTCCGGCCTGACCACACTGAGGGCCCTGCAGGTGGCAAAGCCTGATGCCCCGCCATCCCCCGGCAGCCAGACACTGACTGGCACACACCCCTGCAGGTATACCACCTGCCCTACTACGAGGCCTGCGTGCGCGACGCATGTGGGTGTGACAGTGGCGGGGACTGTGAGTGTCTGTGCGATGCCGTGGCTGCCTACGCCCAAGCCTGTCTGGACAAGGGTGTGTGCGTGGACTGGAGGACCCCGGCCTTCTGCCGTGAGTGACCACCCCTCCCACAGGTTGCTCCAGCCCCTGCCACCCAGCGCCACTAAGGGCCGGCGCAGGGCTGCCCTTGCCCACAGGCCCCTCTCCCTGGACAGGCGCCGGGCTGTGCCCTGCGGGGCCACCCTGGCCCTCCCGCAGCCCCCAGCTGCCCAGGGGAGGCTTCACCAAGAGGGCCCAGACCTTCCCCGCCCACACTCAGGTTCCATGCATGCCCAGGGGAACCACCGGGTCAGGGCCAGGGCCAGGGCCAGGAACCCCACCAGCTGACAGCTCCCTTCCTCCCAGCCATCTACTGCGGCTTCTACAACACGCACACGCAGGACGGCCATGGCGAGTACCAGTACACACAGGAGGCCAACTGCACGTGGCACTACCAGCCCTGCCTCTGCCCCAGCCAGCCACAGAGCGTCCCAGGCAGCAACATCGAAGGTGCCAGGTGACCGGGAGGCAACGCAGATACACAGGGGGACCCATTCACTCATTCATGCACATTCATTCATTCACACGCATTCATTCATTCACACATTCATTCATGCTCATTAATTCACACATTCATTAATTTGCACACATTCATTCACACACACTCACGCACATTCACATTCATTCATGCAGATTCATGCATTCATTCACGCATATTCATTCATTCACGCACATTTGTTCATCCACTCACACACACTCATGCACATTCATTCACACATTCATTCACGCAGTCACTACACACACATTCATTCATGCTCATTCACGCAGTCACATTCCCGCAGATTCATGCACATTCATTCACGCACATTCACTCACGCACATTCACGCACACTCATGCACATTCACTCCATTCATCCATTCATTCACCCACACACACTCATTCAACATATTCACGCTCATTCACATTCATTCACGCACATTCACTCAACACATTCACATTCATTCATGCTCATTCACACATTTACTCACCCACATTCATGCACATTCACGCACTCATGCATTCATTTACGCACATTTGTTCACTCACGCACATTCACTCATGCACATTCACGCACATTCATTCAACATTCACTCACGCACATTCACCCATGCACATTCATTCACACATATTCATTCATTCATTCATGTTTGCTTATTCATTCATGCACATTCGCTCATACACACACGCACATTCATGCATTCATTTGCACATTCATTCTTTCACACACACAGTCACTCAGCAGATGGGTCCTGAGCACCTCTGTCCTCCAGGCCGGCTCCAGGTCAGGGGACCTGGCCTTACACAAAACAAACAGTCCTGCAACCTGGAGCTTCCCTCCCAGCCAGGGAGAGGTGCTTAAGGAGGCAGACCCAGTGTCGGCCGAGGCGCCCACCATGGAGAGGAGAAAGGCAGGCTGGGGTGGGAGAGCCACAGGCTTCTGTGCCACACAGGGTGGTTGGGGCCCTTGGTGGGAGGCAGATGTGAGGGCGAGGATGGGAAAGGTGAGGAGGGGAGCCAGGAAAGTGTCCAGAGGAGCAGCCAGGAGCAGCCTTGTGCCCAGAACCCTTAAGAAAGCCAGGGCAGCGGGCAGAGCCAGCGAGTGAGGGGCGCGGGCTGCAGAGGGCAGAGGGAGCGGTGGAGGGGTGCGGGGCTGTAGAGGGCAGATGGAGTGAGTGAGGGGCGCGGGGCTGTAGAGGGCAGAAGGAGCGAGTGGGGCGCGGGGCTGCAGAGGGCAGAGCAAGCGAGTGAGGGGCACAGGGCTGCAGAGGGCAGAGGGAGTGAGTGAGGGGCGCGGGGCTGTAGAGGGCAGAGGGAGCGAGTGAGGGGCGTGGGCTGCAGAGGGCAGAGCGAGTGAGGGGCGCGGGGCTGCAGAGGGCAGAGGGAGCGAGTGAGAGGCGCGGGGCTGCAGAGGGCAGAGGGAGCGAGTGAGGGGCACCGGGCTGCAGAGGGGTGTGGGGTACACAGACTTGTGGGGTGGGGTGTGGCCGGGAGGGAGGGGTCTTTGTGAGGCCTGTGGCTGCCCCAAGGCAGAGGTCTGAATGCAGAGGGTCCTGGGATTAACAGGTCCTGGCCCAAGTGGTGGAGGAGGGTGGTGTCTGGAGCCATCCGGACACACAGAGGACAGATGTGTTGGGGCTCAGGAGGGCAATGCAGGGCACCTGCATCGGGGAGCACAGAAGAGGGGCCAGTGTCTGAGGTCCAGGGGGAGGTGAGGACTGGAAGATGGCACCGAAGCCCCAGCCCCGGGTGATAAGCAGGGTATGAGAGACCAAGGCCTGAGGAAGGCATGGCAGGAAAGGAGGGGCTTAGAGCAAGGTGCGCGGGTGAAACTGTAATCCCAGCACTCTGGGAGGCCGAGGCAGGAAGATCACCTCAGGTCAAGAGTTTGAGACCAGCCTGGCCAACGTGGCGAAGCCCCATCACTACTAAAAATACAAAAATTAGCCGGGCGTCATGGCACATGCCTGCAATCGCAGCTACCTGGGAGGCTGGGGCAGGAGAATCATGTGAATCCAGGAGGCAGAGGTTGCAGTGAGCGAAGATTGTGCCACTGCACTCCAGCCTGGGCGACAGAGCGAGACTCTGTCTCAAAAAAAAAAAAAAAAAAAAGCAGAGAGGAAGGAGGCCGCCAGGGCAGGAAACACGCAGGTGGGCCTGGCTGGCCACCAGTCACACAGACCCTGGCCGTTCTCCACCCTAGGCTGCTACAACTGCTCCCAGGATGAGTACTTCGACCACGAGGAGGGGGTGTGCGTGCCCTGCAGTAAGTCCAGTCGGCTGCCCTGAGAACCCTGCCCCTGCCTGCATGCAGGCAGAACGCACGTCCACATCCCACAAACAAGGGAGAGAGCCCTCGGGGGCTGTGAGCCCTTACGTGAGCTCTGGGACTCCACTCTCCAGGACCCTGGCCCCTTGGGTCTCCAGAGACTCAGGCAGCCTCCAGCCCATGGCAGCAGAGAGAAAAAAACACAGCACTGAACCCCACTGGGCCCTCCCATCCCCTCTTCCACCAGCTCCCAGCTCCCCCTACCCTCACCAGGCCTGCCAGGGTGCCTGGGGTATAGAGTGGGAATCATCCTGGGAAGGAGAAAGGGAGAGAGGGGAGGGTGGGCTCCCAGCCCCTCCAGTCCCCTCCACCACAGCCTTGGTGAGCATCTCTGACTCAGGCCCTCGGAGCTCCCAGAGGCCCCACGGGGTGGGGAGGCTTAGAGAACCACAGGGAGCTGACCCCATCTTCTTGCAGTGCCGCCCACCACGCCGCAGCCACCCACCACGCCGCAGCTGCCCACCACAGGTAATTGCACGCACACTAGGTGCCAAGGTGACGCAGGCCCTTTCCTGGGCTCCCCTCGGTTCCCTGGACAAATCTGTCGGGTGGGAAGCAGGGAGGGGGCAGGCAGTACCTGTGCCCTTCTCAGGTCTAACCTGGCAATCAGAGTTGGGGAGGAGCTCAGCCCACAGCCAGGAAGCAGCCTGGTCCCCATGGCCCTGGCTGGACCCACGGATGAGCACAGAGTGGGGCCTCAACAGGTGACCCCCGCCATGCAGGAGGCCCAGCCAGGAGCCAGGCTGCACTCAGAGTGCCACAGGCCAGCCCTCAACTGCACATCATTGGCCCCTGCAGGGCTGCCCGGCTTCAGGGCCAAGCAGGCAGAGGGGAGGGTGCTCCCCAAGGATATGCCGGTACCCTGCAGCCCTGATGGCATGTCCGCCCACCCAGGCTCACGGCCCACGCAAGTCTGGCCCATGACGGGAACCTCCACCACCATCGGGCTTCTCAGCTCCACCGGACCCTCACCCAGCTCTAATCACACCCCTGCCAGCCCCACCCAGACACCCCTCCTTCCAGCCACGCTCACATCCTCCAAGCCCACAGCCTCCTCGGGAGGTAAGGAGCCTCCAGCTGAGCCCATGGAGAGGGCAGCTGCAGGAGGTCCTAGGTACACCTCTGGGGTGGGCTTAGGGATGGCCCTGCTTCCTGGCTCACATCTGCCACTAAGCAGATTCCCAGCGTAGAACTTCCTATGCTTGGGAGCCAAACTGGGGATTTTTCGGAAAAACTTTTAAAGACAAGCTGGTCATGGCATGGGGCATTCCTTGCTGCTGGCTGCTGTCACTAGAAACCGTGTGGGACCTGCAGGGCCTCTGCCAGGCAGCCTGCCCCTGCCCCACACCGAGCAGGGCCCCATCTGCTGCCCAGGGACCCTGGAGGGGACAGGACGACAGTCCGTTCAGCTAAGCAAGGGTGGGCGCAGGAGCAGCCGCAGCCCCATAAGCATGTGGTCACTGCCCCAGCTCTGGCCACCACAGCCAGGAGTACGGTGGGAGGACCTAACAAAGGCAAGAGGAAGAGCCCCTCCAAGGAGGCTGAGTCCCGGACAGCAGGCCAGGGATCCCAGAAGCAGGGCAGGGGGCTGGGACACAAGCCTTCGAAATGCAGGCCCACAGCAAGGGGATGTTCCGGGCGGCTGTCCTCTGCAGAACCACCTAGACCAACCACGGCCGTCACCCCACAAGCCACATCAGGGCTGCCTCCCACAGCCACACTGAGATCGACAGCCACAAAACCCACAGTGACCCAGGCCACAACCAGGGCCACGGCGTCGACCGCCAGCCCAGCCACGACGTCCACAGCTCAGTCCACAACACGGACCACAATGACACTACCAACCCCAGCCACATCAGGGACAAGCCCCACGCTGCGTAAGTCATGGCGCCATGGGATGCCAGCACTGCCGAAGGCACCCGGTCCCACCACCAGCTCACATTCAGTGATTCAGCCATAAAGAAGACCCCGTATTTCCCAGAGGGCAAGCGAGAAGGCAGCCCAAAAGTGTAGGCTGGAGCTGGAGGCAAGGAAGGCCGCCTGGCACTCACAAAGGCAGGCCTGGGGAGCAGAGGTGCAGGAGGGTGGGGGCCACCACCACGGCCACAGGGAACCAGAAGGGGATAAAGTAGGGCCTGGGTTCCAGTCACAGAGCGGCAGCTGCACTGAAGGAGTCAGCACGCAGCTCAGGGCAGGATGTGGAGCAAGTCCAGGTGAGATGGAGACAATGGGGCAGGCTGGAGTGCCCAGCAGGGGCCATGTCACAGGAACAGAGGCACAGACAGGCAAGAAAAAGGTCACATAGACAAAAGGACGGGCCAGCGGAGGTCAGGGTAGAGAAACAAAAACAATAACGATGACAACTTCACCAATTCCCACAGCAAAATCGACCAATCAGGAACTGCCAGGAACAACGGCCACCCAGACGACAGGCCCACGTCCAACCCCAGCAAGCACCACAGGCCCAACCACCCCACAGCCAGGACAACCCACGAGGCCCACAGCCACAGAGACCACTCAAACAAGAACGACTACTGAATACACAACGCCCCAAACCCCACACACCACACACTCCCCGCCTACGGCGGGGAGTCCCGTCCCTTCCACAGGTCCTGTCACTGCAACATCTTTCCATGCCACCACTACCTATCCAACCCCATCACACCCTGAGACCACACTTCCCACTCACGTTCCACCTTTCTCCACCTCCTTGGTGACTCCAAGTACTCACACAGTCATCACCCCTACCCACGCACAGATGGCCACATCTGCCTCCAACCACTCAGCGCCAACAGGTACCATTCCTCCACCAACAACGCTCAAGGCCACAGGGTCCACCCACACAGCCCCACCAATAACGCCGACCACCAGTGGGACCAGCCAAGCCCACAGCTCATTCAGCACAAACAAAACACCTACCTCGCTACATTCACACACTTCCTCCACACACCATCCTGAAGTCACCCCAACTTCTACTACCACGATTACTCCCAACCCCACTAGTACACGCACCAGAACCCCTGTGGCCCACACCAACTCAGCCACCAGCAGCAGGCCACCACCACCCTTCACCACACACTCCCCACCTACAGGGAGCAGTCCCTTCTCTTCCACAGGTCCCATGACGGCAACATCCTTCAAGACCACCACTACCTATCCAACCCCATCACTCCCTCAGACCACTCTTCTCACTCACGTTCCACCTTTCTCAACCTCTTTGGTGACTCCAATTACTCACACAGTCATCACCCCTACCCACCCACAGATGTCCACTTCTGCCTATATCCACTCAACGCCAACAGGCACGATTGCTCCACCAACAACAGTTAAGGCCACAAGGTCCACCTACACAGCCCCACTAATGACGGCAACCACCAGTAGGATCAGCCAAGCCCACAGCTCAATCAGCACAGCCAAAACCTCTACATCCCTCCACTCACATGCTTCCTCCACACACCATCCTGAAGTCACCCCAACTTCTACCACCAACGTGACTCCCAAGTCCACCAGTAGAGGCACCAGCACCCCTGTGACCCACACCACCTCGGCCACCAGTAGCAGGCCACCCACACCCATCACAACACACTCTTCACCTACCAGGAGCAGTCCCCTCTCTTCCACAGGTCGTATGACTGCAACATCTCTCAAGACCACCACTACCTATCCAACCCCATCACAAGCTCACATCACACTTCCCATTCATGTTCCACCTTTCTCCACCTCATCGGTGACTCCAAGTACTCACACAGTCATCACCCCAACCCACCCACAGATGTCCACTTCTGCCTCCAACCACTCAACGTCAACAGGCACCATTCCTCCACTGACAACGCTCATGGCCACAGGGTCCACACACACAGCCCCACTAATAACAGTGACCACCAGTAGGACCAGCCAAGTCCACAGCTCCTTCAGCACAGCCAAAACCTCTACATCCCTCCTCTCCCATGCTTCCTCCACACACCATCCAGAAATCACCACAAATTCTACCACCACCATTACTCCCAACCCCACTAGTACAGGCACCGGAACCCCTGTGGCCCACACCACCTCAGCCACCAGCAGCAGGCCACCACCACCCTTCACCACACACTCCCCACCTACAGAGAGCAGTCCCCTCTCTCCCACAGGTCCTATGACTCCAACATCCTTCAAGACCACCACTACCTATCCAACCACATCACACCCTCAGACCACACTTCCCACTCACGTTCCACCTTTCTCCAGCTCGTCAGTGACTCCAAGTACTCACACAGTCATCACCCCTACCCATGCACAGATGTCCACTTCTGCCTCGATCCACTCAACGCCAACAGGTACCATTCCTCCACTGACAACGCTCACGGCCACAGGGTCCACACACACAGCCTCACCAATGACGGGGACAACCATTCGGACCACCCAAGCCCACAGCTCATTCAGCATAGCCAAAACCTCTACATCCATCCTCTCACATGCTTCCTCCACACACCATCCGGAAACCACACCAACTTCTACCACCAACATTACTCCCAAGTCCACTAGTGCAGGAACCAGCACCCCTGTGGCCCACACCACCTTGGCCACCAGCAGCAGGCCACCCACACCCTTCACCACACACTCCCCACCTACAGGGAGCAGTCCCATCTCTTCCACAGGTCCTATGACTGCAACATCCATCAAGACCACCACGACCTATCCAACCCCATCACACCCTCAGACCACACTTACCACTCATGTTCCACCTTTCTCCACCTCATCAGTCACTCCAAGTACTCACACAGTCATCACCCCTACCCACGCACAAATGTCCACTTCTGCTTCGATCCACTCAACGCCAACAGGCACCGTTCCTCCACTGACAACGCGCATGCCCACAGGGTCGACACACACAGGCCCACCAATGACGGGGACCATTATTCAGACAAGCAAAGCTCACAACTCATTCAGCACAGCCAAAACTTCTACATCTCTCCACTCACATGCTTCCTCCACACACCATCCTGAAACCACACCAACTTCTACCACCAACATTACTCCCAAGTCCACTAGTGCAGGAACCAGCACCCCTGTGGCCCACACCACCTTGGCCACCAGCAGCAGGCTACCCACAACCTTCACCACACACTTCCCACCTACAGGGAGCAGTCATGTCTCTTCCACAGGTCCTATGACTGCAACATCCTCCCAGACCACCACTACCCATCCAACCCCATCACACCCTCAGACCACACTTCCCACTCACATTCCACCTTTCTCCACCTCCTTGGTGACTCCAAGTACTCACACAGTCATCACCCCTACCCACGCACAAGTGTCCACTTCTGCCTCCATCCACTCAACACCAACAGGCACCATTCCTCCACCTACAACGGTAAAGGCCACAGGCACAGGGTCCACGCACACAGCACCACGAATGACAGTGACCACCAGCGGGACCAGCCAAGCGCACAGCTCTTTCAGCACAGCCAAAACCTCCACATCCCTACACTCACATGCTTCTTCAACACTCCATCCTGAAGTCACCCCAACTTCTACCACCACCATCACCCCCAACCCCACCAATACAGGCATCAGAACGCCTGTGGCAAACACCACCTCAGCCACCAGCAGCAGGCTAACCACACCCTTCACCACACACTCCCCACCTACAGGGAGCAGTCCCATCTCTTCCACAGGTCCTATGACTGCAACATCCTTCCAGACCACCACTACATATCCAACCCCATCACACCCTCAGACCACACTTCCCACTCACGTTCCACCTTTCTCCACCTCCTTGGTGACTCCAAGTACTCACACAGTCATCACCCCTACCCACGCACAGATGGCCACTTCCGCCTCCATCCATTCAACGCCAACAGGCACCATTCCTCCACTGACAACGCTCATGAACACAGGGTCCACACACACAGCCCCACCAGTGACGCCGACCACCAGTGGGACGAGCCAAGCCGCGAGCTCATTCAGCACAGCCAAAACCTCTACATCCTTACATTCACACACTTCCTCCACACACCATCCTGAAGTCACCCCAACTGCTACCACCAAAATCACCACCAACCCCACCAGTATAGGAAGCAGCACACCCATGGCCCACACTACCTCAGCCACCAGCAGCAGGCTAACTACACCATTCACCACACACTCCCCATCTACAGGGAGCAGTCCTGTCTCTTCCACAGGTCCTATGACTGCAACATCCTTCCAGACCACCACTACCTATCCAACACCATCACTCTCTCAGACCACTCTTCCCACTTACGTTCCACCTTTCTCCACCTCCTTGGTGACTCCAAGTACTCACACAGTCATCACCCCTCCCCGCACACAGATGGCCACTTCTGCCTCCATCCACTCAACGCCAACAGGCACCATTCCTCCACCGACAACGCTCAAGGCCACAGGGTCCACCCACACAGCGCCAACAAGGACGCTGACCACCAGCGGGACCAGCCAAGCCCTGAGCTCATTAAACACAGCCAAAACCTCTACATCCCTACATTCACACACTTCCTCCACACACCATCCTGAAGCCACCTCAACTTCTACCACCAACATCACCCCCAACCCCACCAGTACAGGAACTGGGACACCTGTGGCCCACACCACCTCAGCCACCAGCAGCAGGCTAACCACACCCTTCACCACACACTCCCCACCTACAGGGAGCACTCCCATCTCTTCCACAGGTCCTGTCACTGCAACATCCTTCCATGCCACCACTACCTATCCAACACCATCACACCCTCAGACCACACATCCCACTCACGTTACATCTTTCTCCACCTCCTTGGTGACTCCAAGTACTCACACAGTCATCACCCCTACCCACGCACAGATGGCCACTTCTGCGTCCATCCACTCAACGCCAACAGGCACCATTTCTCCACCAACAACGCTCAAGGCCACAGGGTCCATCCACACAGCCCCACCAATGACGCCGACCACCAGTGGGACCAGCCAATCCCCAAGCTCATTTAGCATGGCCAAAACTTCTACATCCCTACCTTACCACACTTCCTCCACACACCATCCTGAAGTCACCCCAACTTCTACCACCAACATCACCCCCAAACACACCAGTACAGGCACAAGAACCCCTGTGGCCCACACCACCTCGGCCACCAGCAGCAAGCTACCCACACCCTTCACCACACACTCCCCACCTACAGGAAGCAGTCCCATCTCTTCCACAGGTCCTGTCACTGCAACATCCTTCCAGACCACCACTACCTATCCAACCCCATCACACTCTCACACCACACTTCCCACTCACGTTCCACCTTCCTCCACCTCCTTGGTGACTCCAAATACTCACACAGTCATCACCCATACCCATGCACAGATGTCCACTTCTGCCTCCATCCACTCAACGCCAACAGGCACCATTCCTCCACCGACAACGCTCAAGGCCACAGGGTCCACCCACACAGCCCCACCAATGACGCCGACCACCAGTGGGACCAGGCAAGCCCCAAGCTCATTCAGCACAGCCAAAACTTCTACATCCCTACATTCACACACTTCCTCCACACACCATCCTGCAGTCACCCCAACTTCTACCACCAACATCACCCCCAACCACACCAGTACAGGCACCAGGACCCCTGTGGCCCACACCACTTCGGCCACCAGCAGCAGGCTACCCACACCCTTCACCACACACTCCCCACCGACAGGGAGCAGTCCCATCTCTTCCACAGCTCCTGTCACTGCAACATCCTTCCAGACCACCACTACCTATCCAACCACATCACAGTCTCAGACCACACTTCCCACTCACATTCCACCTTTCTCCACCTCCTTGGTGACTCCAAGTACACACACAGTCATCACCCCAACCCATCAACAGATGGCCACTTCTGCCTCCATCCACTCAACGCCAACAGGCACCATTCCTCCACTGACAACGCTCAAGGCCACAGGGTCCACCCACACAGCCCCACCAATGACGCCGACCACCAGTGGGACCAGCCAAGCCCTGAGCTCATTCAGCACAGCCAAAACCTCTACATCCCTACATTCACACACTTCCTCCACACACCATCCTGAAGTCACCCCAACTTCTACCACCATCACCCCCAAACCCACCAGTACAGAAACCGGCACCCCTGTGGCCGACACCACGTCAGCCACCAGCAGCAGGCTACCCACACCCTTCACCACACACTCCTTACCTACAGGGAGCAGTCCCTTCTCTTCCACAGGTCCTATGACTGCAACATCCTTCCAGACCACTACTACCTATCCAACCCCATCACACCCTCACACCACACTTCCCACTCACATTCCACCTTTCTCCACCTCCTTGGTGACTCCAAGTACTCACACAGTCATCACCACTACCCACGCACAGATGTCCACTTCTGCCTCCATCCACTCAACGCCAACAGGCACCATTCCTCCACCAACAACGCTCAAGGCCACAGGGTCTACCCACACAGCCCCACCAATGACGCCGACCACCAGTGGGACCAGCCAAGCCCCGAGCTCATTCAGCACAGCCAAAACCTCTACATCCTTACATTCACACACTTCCTCTGCACACCATCCTGAAGTCACCCCAACTTCTACCACCATCACCCCCAATCCCACCAGTACAGAAACCGTCACCCCTGTGGCCCACACCACCTCAGCCACCAGCAGCAGGCTAACCACACCCTTCACCACACACTCCCCACCTACAGGGAGCAGTCCCATCTCTTCCACAGGTCCTGTCACTGCAACATCCTTCCATGCCACCACTACCTATCCAACACCATCACACCCTCAGACCACACTTCCCACTCACGTTCCATCTTTCTCCACCTCCTTGGTGACTCCAAGTACTCACACAGTCATCACCCCTACCCACGCACAGATGACCACTTCTGCCTCCATCCACTCAATGCCAACAGGCACCATTCCTCCACCGACAACGCTGAAGGCCACAGGGTCCACCCACACAGCCCCACCAATGATGCCAACCACCAGTGGGACCAGCCAAGCCTCAAGCTCATTCAACACAGCCAAAACCTCTACATCCCTACATTCACACACTTCCTCCACACACCATCCTGAAGTCACCCCAACTTCTATCACCAACATCACCCTCAACCCCACCAGTATAGGAACCTGGACACCCGTGGCCCACACCACCTCAGCCACCAGCAGCAGGCTAACCACACCCTTCACCACACACTCCCCACCTACAGGGACCACTCCCATCTCTTCCACAGGTCCTGTCACTGCAACATCCTTCCATGCCACCACTACCTATCCAACACCATCACACCCTCAGACCACACTTCCCACTCACGTTCCATCTTTCTCCACCTCCTTGGTGACTCCAAGTACTCACATAGTCATCACCCCTACCCACGCACAGATGGCCACTTCTGCCTCCATCCACTCAATGCAAACAGGCACCATTCCTCCACCGACCACGATCAAGGCCACAGGGTCCACCCACACAGCCCCACCAATGACACCGACCACCAGTGGGACCAGCCAATCCCTAAGCTCATTTAGCACGGCCAAAACTTCTACATCCCTACCTTACCACACTTCCTCCACACACCATCCTGAAGTCACCCCAACTTCTACCACCAACATCACCCCCAAACACACCAGTACAGGCACCAGAACCCCTGTGGCCCACACCACCTCGGCCACCAGCAGCAGACTACCCACACCCTTCACCACACATTCCCCACCTACAGGGAGCAGTCCCATCTCTTCCACAGGTCCTATGACTGCACCATCCTTTCAGACCACCACTACCTATCCAACCCCATCACACCCTCAGACCACACTTCCCACTCACATTCCACCTTTCTCCACCTCCTTGGTGACTCCAAGTACTCACAAGGTCATCACCCCTACCCATGCACAGATGTCCACTTCTGCCTCCATCCACTCAACGCCAACAGGCACCATTCCTCCACTAACAACGCTCAAGGTCACAGGGTCCACCCACACAGCCCCACCAATCACAGTGACCACCAGTGGGACCAGCCCATCCGCAAGCTCATTTAGCACAGGCAAAACCTCTACATCCTTACATTCACACACTTCCTCCACACACTATCCTGAAGTCACCCCAACTTCTACCACCACCATCACCCCCAACCACACCAGTACAGGCACCAGAACCCCTGTGGCCCACACCACCTCGGCCACCAGCAGCAGGCTACCCATACCCTTCACCACACATTCCCCACCTACAGGGAGCAGTCCCATCTCTTCCACAGGTCCTATGACTGCAACATCCTTTCAGACCACCACTACCTATCCAACCCCATCACACCCTCAGACCACACTTCCCACTCACCTTCCACCTTTCTCCACCTCCTTGGTGACTCCAAGTACTCACACAGTCATCATCACTACCCACACACAGATGGCCACTTCTGCCTCCATCCACTCAACGCCAACAGGCACCGTTCCTCCACCAACAACGCTCAAGGCCACAGGGTCCACCCACACAGCGCCAACAATGACGCCGACCACCAGCGGGACGAGCCAAGCCCTGAGCTCATTCAACACAGCCAAAACCTCTACATCCCTACATTCACAAACTTCCTCCACACACCTTCCTGAAGTCACCCCAACTTCTACCGCCATCACCCCCAATCCCACCAGTACAGGAACCGGCACCCCTGTGGCCCACACCACCTCAGCCACCAGCAGCAGGCTAACCACACCCTTCACCACACACTCCTCACCTACAGGGAGCAGTCCCTTCTCTTCCACAGGTCCTATGACTGCAACATCCTTCCAGACCACCACTACCTATCCAACCCCATCACACCCTCAGACCACACTTCCCACTCACGTTCCACCTTTCTCCACCTCTTTGGTGACTCCAAGTACTCACACAGTCATCACCCCTACCCATGCACAGATGGCCACTTCTGCCTCCATCCACTCAATGCCAACAGGCACGATTCCTCCACCGACAACGCTCAAGGCCACAGGGTCCACCCACACAGCGCCAACAATGACGCCGACCACCAGCGGGACCAGCCAAGCCCTGAGCTCATTAAACACAGCCAAAACCTCTACATCCCTACATTCACACACTTCCTCCACACACCATGCTGAAGCCACCTCAACTTCTACCACCAACATCACCCCCAACCCCACCAGTACAGGAACCCCACCAATGACAGTGACCACCAGTGGGACCAGCCAATCCCGAAGCTCATTTAGCACGGCCAAAACCTCTACATCCCTACATTCACACACTTCCTCCACACACCATCCTGAAGTCACCTCAACTTCTACCACCAGCATCACCCCCAACCACACCAGTACAGGCACCAGAACCCCTGTGGCCCACACCACGTCGGCCACCAGCAGCAGGCTACCCACACCCTTCACCACACACTCCCCACCTACAGGGACCACTCCCATCTCTTCCACAGGTCCTGTCACTGCAACATCCTTCCAGACCACCACTACCGATCCAACCCCATCACACCCTCACACCACACTTCCCACTCACGTTCCATCTTTCTCCACCTCCTTGGTGACTCCAAGTACTCACATAGTCATCACCCCTACCCACGCACAGATGGCCACTTCTGCCTCCATCCACTCAATGCCAACAGGCACTATTCCTCCACCGACCACGATCAAGGCCACAGGGTCCACCCACACAGCCCCACCAATGACGGCAACCACCAGTGGGACCAGCCAATCCCCAAGCTCATTTAGCACGGCCAAAACTTCTACATCCCTACATTCACACATTTCCTCAACACATCATCCTGAAGTCACCCCAACTTCTACCACCACCATCACCCCCAACCACACCAGTACAGGCACCAGAACCCCTGTGGCCCACACCACCTCGGCCACCAGCAGCAGGCTACCCATACCCTTCACCACACATTCCCCACCTACAGGGAGCAGTCCCATCTCTTCCACAGGTCCTATGACTGCAACATCCTTTCAGACCACCACTACCTATCCAACCCCATCACACCCTCAGACCACACTTCCCACTCACCTTCCACCTTTCTCCACCTCCTTGGTGACTCCAAGTACTCACACAGTCATCATCACTACCCACACACAGATGGCCACTTCTGCCTCCATCCACTCAACGCCAACAGGCACCGTTCCTCCACCAACAACGCTCAAGGCCACAGGGTCCACCCACACAGCGCCAACAATGACGCCGACCACCAGCGGGACGAGCCAAGCCCTGAGCTCATTCAACACAGCCAAAACCTCTACATCCCTACATTCACAAACTTCCTCCACACACCTTCCTGAAGTCACCCCAACTTCTACCACCATCACCCCCAATCCCACCAGTCCAGGAACCGGCACCCCTGTGGCCCACACCACCTCAGCCACCAGCAGCAGGCTAACCACACCCTTCACCACACACTCCTCACCTACAGGGAGCAGTCCCTTCTCTTCCACAGGTCCTATGACTGCAACATCCTTCCAGACCACCACTACCTATCCAACCCCATCACACCCTCAGACCACACTTCCCACTCACGTTCCACCTTTCTCCACCTCTTTGGTGACTCCAAGTACTCACACAGTCATCACCCCTACCCATGCACAGATGGCCACTTCTGCCTCCATCCACTCAATGCCAACAGGCACGATTCCTCCACCGACAACGCTCAAGGCCACAGGGTCCACCCACACAGCGCCAACAATGACGCTGACCACCAGCGGGACCAGCCAAGCCCTGAGCTCATTAAACACAGCCAAAACCTCTACATCCCTACATTCACACACTTCCTCCACACACCATGCTGAAGCCACCTCAACTTCTACCACCAACATCACCCCCAACCCCACCAGTACAGGAACCCCACCAATGACAGTGACCACCAGTGGGACCAGCCAATCCCGAAGCTCATTTAGCACGGCCAAAACCTCTACATCCCTACATTCACACACTTCCTCCACACACCATCCTGAAGTCACCTCAACTTCTACCACCAGCATCACCCCCAACCACACCAGTACAGGCACCAGAACCCCTGTGGCCCACACCACGTCGGCCACCAGCAGCAGGCTACCCACACCCTTCACCACACACTCCCCACCTACAGGGACCACTCCCATCTCTTCCACAGGTCCTGTCACTGCAACATCCTTCCAGACCACCACTACCTATCCAACCCCATCACACCCTCACACCACACTTCCCACTCACGTTCCATCTTTCTCCACCTCCTTGGTGACTCCAAGTACTCACACGGTCATCATCCCTACCCACACACAGATGGCCACTTCTGCCTCCATCCACTCAATGCCAACAGGCACCATTCCTCCACCGACCACGATCAAGGCCACAGGGTCCACCCACACAGCCCCACCAATGACACCGACCACCAGTGGGACCAGCCAATCCCCAAGCTCATTTAGCACGGCCAAAACTTCTACATCCCTACCTTACCACACTTCCTCAACACACCATCCTGAAGTCACCCCAACTTCTACCACCAACATCACCCCCAAACACACCAGTACAGGCACCAGAACCCCTGTGGCCCACACCACCTCGGCCAGCAGCAGCAGGCTACCCACACCCTTCACCACACACTCCCCACCTACAGGGAGCAGTCCCTTCTCTTCCACAGGTCCTATGACTGCAACATCCTTCCAGACCACCACTACCTATCCAACCCCATCACACCCTCAGACCACACTTCCCACTCACGTTCCACCTTTCTCCACCTCCTTGGTGACTCCAAGTACTCACACAGTCATCATCACTACCCACACACAGATGGCCACTTCTGCCTCCATCCACTCAACGCCAACAGGCACCGTTCCTCCACCAACAACGCTCAAGGCCACAGGGTCCACCCACACAGCCCCACCAATGACAGTGACCACCAGTGGGACCAGCCAAACCCACAGCTCATTCAGCACAGCTACAGCCTCTTCTTCCTTCATATCCTCCTCGTCTTGGCTGCCTCAGAACTCTAGCTCAAGGCCACCGTCATCACCTATCACCACACAACTCCCCCACTTGAGTTCTGCAACCACTCCTGTTTCCACAACTAATCAGCTGTCCTCCTCATTTTCTCCCAGTCCTTCTGCCCCCTCTACTGTTTCTTCTTATGTGCCCTCCTCCCACTCCTCTCCCCAGACTTCATCGCCTTCTGTTGGCACATCTTCCTCTTTCGTGTCCGCCCCCGTGCACTCCACAACCCTGAGCTCGGGGTCACACTCCTCATTGTCCACTCATCCCACGACTGCATCAGTGTCTGCATCTCCTCTTTTTCCTTCTTCTCCAGCTGCCTCTACTACCATTAGGGCCACTCTCCCCCACACTATCTCCTCTCCTTTCACCCTCTCTGCTCTACTCCCCATATCCACTGTTACCGTGTCTCCCACCCCATCCAGCCACCTAGCCTCCAGCACCATTGCATTTCCGTCCACGCCCAGGACCACGGCCAGCACCCACACCGCCCCTGCCTTCTCCTCTCAGTCCACCACCTCGCGGTCCACTTCTCTCACCACCCGAGTTCCCACATCAGGCTTTGTGTCACTCACCTCGGGGGTGACGGGTATCCCCACCTCTCCAGTCACCAACCTTACCACCAGGCACCCTGGTCCCACCTTGTCGCCTACCACACGGTTCCTGACCAGCTCCCTCACTGCCCATGGAAGCACCCCTGCTTCTGCCCCGGTATCTTCTCTCGGGACACCTACGCCCACCTCACCCGGTAAGTGGCATCTCTGTGGCCCTTCTCCTGGCCTCACCTCTGTGCTCATGACTCCCAGGCAGCCCCTGCCTCAGCTTACCCCTCATGGTCCTGTGATCCCAGGACCACACGCCTGTTCCCTGCCTTCCCTACACACCTGCCAGGCGTTTCCACTCTCCTCTCCTGGGCACCCTCTATGCCAACGCTGTCCTGGCCAAGCAAGTGCCTGGCCTCCCCGTTGGGCCTTGTTCCCCAGCTAACCTTGACCTTTCCCTGCACTGGCTCACTCATGCCCGGTCACTGCTGCACTCCTGGCCTCCCCTCAGAGTGTTACCTGCCAAAAGCCTTCCCTGGCTGCCCCTTTGGTTGCTCAGAGGATGTCAGGGCTGGCCCAACCCCAGGGTTCAAGCAGCACAGCCCTTCCTCCAAGTGCAGAGAGAGACACAAAAGTCTGGCACATCCCCTGCCTCGCCCCAAAGGACCTGTTGAAGGTGGAGCTGGACCTGGCAACCAGGGCACCTGCTCCTTCGTGCTCATGCCAATTCTCTGGGCCACGGCTCTTCCCGGCCCATGCCTGTGAGCGAGTCCACTGCTCCCCAGGCCATGGGATGCCTGGGGACAGAGCACACCTCAGGCCTTATCCATGTCCACCTCACCTCACCTCGCGTTCCAGGGATGTCCCTCCCTTCCCTCCTGGGTGTTCCTCTCACAGCAACCACCCAGGGACTGGGTCCCTCGCATGCATCGACCTCCACCAGGCGACAACGCCACAGTTGCCTTCGTGGTCTCTCACGTGGGTGGCAGCTCGTTGCTGCAAGCTGAGGGAATCTTGGTTCGGGTCCCTCCCTGAGACCGGGACTTGGGTGCAAGGTGTAACCAGGGAGGTGACCCCAAGAAGCAGAGGCGAGGGAGCAGGAACCAGCTGGGAGGGGAGGGCAGCTGGGGACGGCAGGGCCTATGGAAGCACCCAGAGTCCTGACCCTCCCGGAGAAAGCCCTCTGCAGCGGGCAGGTAGGCTCCAGGTGACCTGTCTTCTCTGCAGCCAGGAAACGAAGCTGGGAGCAGCCAGGGGAGGGCACACGGGCAGCAGAGTCCAGCCTTTACCCCAGGACTCCTTTTCCACTTTTAAACCCACGCTCTCCAGTGGCGGTTTCTAATGCCAACGCTGCCACTGCCTGCATCGGTCCACCCTGCTCTGTGCTGCCTGCCACGTACCCAGGCCTCTCGCTGAGGCTGGCTGTCTCTGGGCCTTCCCCGCGGGCCCCCACCCCGCCCCTTCCAGGAGCCCAGACCACGGGGCCTGCTCCACTTCCCTCCTCCCCAGCTGGGGCACACGGAGCTCCTGCAACACCATATGTCCCGCTCTGGGGTCACTGGCACGGTGTCCTCGGCCCCCCTGCAGGTCCTGGGTCTGGCCAACCAGAGAGGCCCATGCCCACAGGTCAGTGTTGAGGCCTGGGGTTGGTCATCAGGGAAGCTGGGGCCCAAGGGTGGCTCACACAGGCCCAGGGCTCAGTATCTGCTGAGTCCGCTGAGAAAATTCTCTACCTTATGGACTCCAGCAGAGCGACTTTGAGGGGAAAAAACAAACTAGGATGCGGCTGGCCTTTGCCTTTGTGTATGGCTGAGGTCTGAGCTCTGTGGGGCTCCACAAGGGGAGACCACACCTTGGGCAGGAGAGTCCAGAGACAGGTGGGGACCCCGGTCTCTAGCCAGGGTTTCCCTCCCTCCTCGCTCCATGCCCACCCTGGGCGCTGCTGACCGTCCACTCGGCTACCAGGGGTCTGCAGTGTGCGGGAGCAGCAGGAGGAGATCACGTTCAAGGGGTGCATGGCGAACGTGACGGTAACCCGCTGTGAGGGCGCCTGCATTTCCGCTGCCAGGTGAGTCCACAGGTGGGAGGCCTGCCCCACGTCCACCAAGGTGCTCACAACCCCACCCCAGAGAGGTTCGGGCACCCCACCCAGGCGCCTGCTGCCCCATCAGGTGAGCCACTCTGCGCTCCATCTGCCCAACACCGCCCTGGCCCCTGTGAGCCGGGAGCTCAGCGGGGAGGTCCAGGCCTCTGCGGAGCAGCTGCCCTGGGGAGGGAGGGGCCTTATGCCCCTGCAGCAGTCATGACCCTGCTCTGTCTTGACTTCTCGGCAGCTTCAACATCATCACCCAGCAGGTGGATGCCCGCTGCAGCTGCTGCCGCCCCCTCCACTCCTATGAGCAGCAGCTGGAGCTGCCCTGCCCCGATCCCAGCACGCCTGGCCGGCGGCTCGTACTCACCCTGCAGGTGTTCAGCCACTGCGTGTGCAGCTCTGTGGCCTGTGGAGACTAGCAGGGTCGCTGCCTGCTCTCCTGGGGCTGAAGGACTGCAGATGACAGACAGGAAAACACCCACCAGCCCCCTTCCCGCTTGTGCCAGCAGCTGCTTTCCTGGTCACCAGGCCTGGCCCCCAAGTGCCCTGGGCCGTGGCTCCCTGGGGCACCGGTTGGAGAGGGGCTGCCAAGCAGGGGCTCAGACTACCACACTCCTGCAGACCCTGAGCCAGCAGAGAGGGACTGAGGCGGACAGTGGTCACGGACCTCCCAGGCACACAGGGCACTCCCGACCACCCCTGCCCACCGTCCAACACCTCCCAGCCCCTGAACTTGGCCCCAGCCCTGCTGGGCCCAGAACCCTGCAGATGAAGCCACAGAGCAGGCGCTCGACCAGACCCATCAGGGGCGAGGAGGGCACGGAAACCTGTGCCGAGATGGGGGCAAGAGGCCCAGGCAGCCACCAGCACAGAGAAGAGGAGATCCCCAGAGTCAGGGAGGGCAGAGGGTGGCAGCGAGGGCAGGGCAGCCGCCCCCGCTCCCAGCCAGGCAGAAGGCCCCCACCAGCACCACACCCATCCCCAGCAGCCTGTCCTTGGGAGAGGGCGTCACCCGGTCAGAGACTCCAAATAAACCGGTTCTTGTCAAGGCACAGAGGCTGGTCCCTGAGCACTGCTTTTGCCTCTCCCCAGTCCCTTAGTAGGCACCCGACCCACATCTGCACCCTGTGGGCCCCTGGGATCTGCAGTTGGGCAGGGCTGCCCCCAGCAGGGTCTGGGCTGGTAAGAGAAGCTGCCTCTGGCTTTGGGCCCCTGCCCTCCCTCCATTAGGACTGTTCCGTCTCTGGCGAAGCCCACCGTCCTCCGGGGGCCACCCCCATCTGCCCGAGAGCCCCTTCTGCACCATCTGTGGTAGGATCAACTGGAGGATC